>NC_000003.12:105523755-105826786 GCF_000001405.40 Homo sapiens | reverse complement strand
GGGAGCAGTAATGGGATTTTCTGGGTGCATTTGCATCATGTGTATCATTGCTTTTCTGTTTATGTTCAGAAGCCTTTTCTGCCAAGGCTTCCACAATCTTCTGACCCCAGCAGCAGGTACATCCTTGTAGATGTCAGTGTAAGTCTTTATATTATGAAGAGTATTTGAGAGAATGGTACAAGAGGATGAAAGGGTGAATGGAAGTTGGGGGCAAAATAATGGAGGGCTAAAGAATATAGATTTGATCTTACAAAAGCTGTCGAGAAACCATTGTGCATTCTTAAGCAGTGAAGTGGCACCATTTAAAATGCACATGAATGATTAGTCTAATATAGTTTGTCTGACGGCAAAGACTGGAGAGTGGAGTAAGAAATTTGTTGGATTTTATACCAAAAAGCTAAAGTGTTTCTAGGATAGCATGTCTTGTTTAATATTTTATCTTTTTTCAAAATGGAGATCATGTTTTATACTGCCTTGTTATATGGTTTTATTACTTCTTTATGAATGACTTAATAGAGCATTTTGTGTATGTGGTAAATATTTGTATGTTCGTTTCTCTGATCAAGAAGCTAATGGATTATTTTGAAGTATCTACTATTTTGTAGCACTACATGAGTTGTACAATTAACTTGAGTCCCCATAAACAAAATTGGGGACATGCTGGATCCATGTCATGCTGTCATGCTGGAGCCGTGTCATGCTGGAGCCATTTCAAACTCCAGTGTGCTTGACGTTAAATTTCAAAAGTCAAGGAAATTGTTGTTAAGGAGCTTAGTTGAAGCTATCTTTTCAAGAATTTAATCTACTAATTCATTTTGTTTAATTTTTAGGAATTTGTATGTCATTAAAATACTCTCAAAAATGCTGTTCTGATTTGAAATGAAATACGAGTATAAAAATTGGGGTCGATCTTTGGTACATTGTTTATTGTACTGGAAAATGAATGCTTAACATTAGTCTGTGATAGTGATATCATGCTATTTTGTATTCAAGCCTTTATATGTTTTCATCAGGAAGAGTCAGGCAAAAGCAGACAAAAATTTCAACTAATGGCAAAGCACTTTGTACCTTTAAAACAATTTAATGAGGAGTTGTTTTTACTCTAAAAGCTGAGGCAAGAGATACATGGCAGTAAAATCTGCTATTGTTAATCTACTGTAGTCTCAAATTTTTATTCATTAATTTATTTATTCATCAGTTCCTTCAGTGATATTTGTTGAGCGCCTACTCTGTCCTGGCACTGCTGTAGTCACAGAGGACAATTATGAGTTACTGAGCCTGACTCCTCTCCTATATGGATTAGAGAGTGAACATAAAATATCAGGAAAACTAAACAGTTTTTACATTTTGCTTTGAATGTTTTTTTACTTTCCTCTCCGCTTCCTTTCCCCCCTTCTCTTCTTTCTCTTTCCATCCCAGGTCCTCCTTTTTCTCACTATCTGAGAGTCGGAGGAAACAAGGAGATGGGAATTTGGAGTGGAAGATAGGTTTAAGGAGATAGTTATCCCACTCTGGTTCTAAATTCTTGCACAATATCTGATATGGCATTAGCTGAAGAACCATGACATGATTGATTTCTTTTTTTCATCCCACTAGTATATGTTACAGGCTCTCAGTGTGCCAACCTTGTTTGAGACACAAAGGATTTAGTAGTGAATAACCTAGATGCAGTCCTCATGGAGCAGACGCTGTGATGGAGAAGGTAGACCACAAGGAAATCAGCATATACAAACATGCTATAATTTCAGTTAGTGATAAATCCTATAAAGAGGAATAATCTAGGATAGGAGGAGAGAAAAGGAGAGATGCCTTTATAGTAACGCTCTAGGTACTCTTCTGATTACACTCTAGGATTGTGTATATGGCTCTCTCATGTCCTAACACTTTTGCAAAGAATGGGGATATGTTTCTTTTAGTAGGTCTAAGTCTAAACAAGAGAAGGTGGAATGATGAGGTCTCCTTCTCAGTGGCTGGAGTGAAGTGGAAGGGTATAGGAGGCTCCCCTTTCGTGAATGCCCTTGCTGTCTCATCAGGGACACCAGATGAGGCTGAGCTGTTAGCTTCCCTCTCCAAATTGTCATTTCTGCCACCTTGAATCCCACAGTTGGCATAAAAATCGTATTTTAAGATGTTATTACTATAATTTAGTTGTGAATAGGAATGGGTTATGTGATAGGCATCAGGGAAGGGCACAAAGAAGAAAGGGGCCCAGAGTGGGGAGATTGCAATTCGCTAAAGTCAGGCTGACTCTACTCCACAGCCCTCCTGACCTAAGGCTGTGTTTATGATATTCAGTCCTCTTACGTGACAGAAATATGTGGTACTTGGTTTAGGTTCCAGGTGCATATTTGTTAACTAAAGTTGCCTTGCTTGGGTGGCAAAAAACTAGCCTGTAGTCCATTTTACAAGCATAAGCGGTGAAGGTGTTTAAGATTTGACTTTGCATCCATGGTAACAGTCTCCACCAATAGTACATGTTACAGAGCCCTTTAGGCCTACAATTGTACTGTAAAGACAGACTGTAGTGACTTGTCTTTCTTATCAGGACCCCACCCTACATGGATCCTTGAAGAGTGAGCAGGACTGCAGAAGGAGCTCAGGTGGATTTGACAGCTTATAAACCTGGAGTTTGGGGAATGCTGAGGCTTCAGGAAGAAAACACCAGTAAGCTTAAGTTTGGGATTCCCACTACTCAGGAGGACTGATGATGGGGACCAAAGTTAGGAAAGCAGAGGAGTTTTGGAGAACCTATGAGTTCAAAAGGGTGAAGTAGGAAAGGTGAGAATGTGAGGGAGAAATGTCAGAGTTTATTTGGATTCTTTTAAAGAATAAAATAGAACACAGTGGGGAGATTCAGAGTCAGCTTGGTAGGGTTGAGTTTGAGGGCCTAAGAAGGAAGAGAGTGATGGAGACATTATAAGAATGGAAGCTCAAGAGAACCATGTAGGTGCTTTGTACCCTGGTATGGAGAATTTCTGGGTGCAGAGTTCATGGACCCTGGCGAGTAAGAGCTCAACACAAGAGATTAGTTGCTACTTGAAATAAACATGATAATTGTGGCCCAGACAGAAAAGCCTCCTCTTTTTCAAAGGTCAAGATTGCTGAGGTACATGACTCAGACCTTGCATAGCAGTAGGAAGAGTAACCAGCAGCAAAGCAATAAGTTGTTTATCAAAGGGTGCTGGTGACTCAGTCAGGAGGATTTGGAATAGAATGATTGATTTGGAAGTAGGTTAAGCTAACCAAATAATATGAATCTCCTATGTGTTTCTTAAACTGATTATTTTGAACTCAAGATTCTCTTCTAGTGTTGTGAAAATAGTTTGTGATATGAAAATGTATATGCTCAATTGCTGTGACCACTAAGGGAGACAGGTATAGCAAGAGAAATAATGGTTCAGTCTGGAGGGGAAGCCATCCCTTCTCGCCCTTCCCCTACGTTGTGTGGATGGAAGGTCTCCAAGAGAAGCATCTATGAGATTAGGCCAGGGAGCCTTCTGTTTCAGGGCCACCCCATTCTGTGTGGTTTTATTTGTCAGAGACGCTGATCCTAACAGAAACAGCTGTTTCAGTGAAGTTCAAGCTTGCCATCTATTTTCAGTAGAAGCAGGAAGAATGTCAGAGACAATGTTTGCATTTTAGGGCCTTTTTATAGGAGCCTAAGATAAAGCTGTTTAAACCTTCTGTCCTCTGTCATTTAACTTATCAAATTCAAGCAGAGCCTTTTAATTTCAACACACTTAACTTCTAGGGATGAATAGGGCATTGAACGGATTCTATAAACAAGTACTTTTCTGAGCGATAAACAGGAACAAAAGCAGCACAAAGATAGCATGTCAACAAGGTAGGGTGTATTGTGAGAAGGGCAAGGCTTGAGAGCCTAATCTATGCTATTCTGGGGAAGCAACTATGTTTGTTTGTTTGATTTAAGGAGCAGTGAAGTTACAGAGAGCAGAAAATGCTGATGTACCTGAAGGCCATTATTCACTTCTGTAGACAGTGCTACTGGGTGAGAAGTGAATAATATTAGTAATATATGTTCATTAATTAAATGTAGCTTTTAAAAGAAAACACAAGATGGAAAAGTGAAACAAAATGGATAGAGTTGTTTGGGTACTAAGAGTAGTAGAGTAGATTGAAGACCATTTAAATGGGAGGCAGATTTTCCCATGCATATCTAAAAAGGTCCTAGTGTTATCCCTTCACTCCATTTTAGATTTGTTTGTTTAGTTTGGCCCTGAGTATGCTAGAACAGATAATAACCTCCCAGCAAATGTAACTGAGTGGGAACATTATTTTAGTTCACTTTCAAAAGAAGAGGGAGATCCAATTCATAATACCCAAAATAGAGAGTACCGGTTAGTTCCAGAATTGACCAGCCATGGAAAGACATAGAAACTTTGCCTGTTAGAATGCTCATCCTGAGAATAGGACCTGAGCTTTTAGAGGTGTTAGATGACTAGAAGGCCTTAGAACCATTAAGGCATTTTATTTCTTTCACATTCAGCCAGCTTTCCTTGAGCAGCTTTTCTATGCCTCTTGCATTTATAAATACTTAAACATGTTATCCCATTCAAAAGTGTAATTTGTTGATACATTGGTTCAACACTGCCATTGTATATGTGTGTGTGTGCACCATATATGTTCATATTATAGTTGCAGATGAATAAAAGATAATGATAAATAATAATATAAGTTATTTATAATAGTGTCAATTGGTTAAATAACTTATACATCCATATGATGAAACATTTCCATTTTTAAATATAATGAGCCACATTTATATGTGCTGGTATGGAACAAGCAAAAAAAATGTTAAGATGCAGAAAGATGTGTTTAGTATCATAACATTGAGGCAAGCAGAGATACACACAGATGCAGACTTCACATCTCTGTTCATTTATATTTGAACTATGAGAAGAAGTGAGAAGGGATGAAATCATGACCTTGAAAATAAGAAGCTGTTTCTTCCTCTGAGGTAGGAGGGAAAAGAAGTTGGGTAAAGATATGAAATGGTGAAACATTAGTTGAGGAAGAAAGGACAAATCAGTGAGCAAAAATCCTGTTTTTGTTTTTATAAACATTTCAATCCCGGGCAATCTTGAGAAAGCCAGGGTCATAGGTTGGATGATTGCAGTACTTTCTTGTGTGTTCAAAGAGGAAAGTCCAAATGCGCATTTGGCACTGGCACTTCTGAAAAGCCCTGACCTTTGTAATCAGGTTCTTTTTCTACCTGCCCTGCAAAGATTTCTTTTTGTTTTGTTTTGGCAGTAGTGTTTATGTGAACCTGTACCCTTACTGTGAAATTTTAACTTACTGTATAGACTGGTTTGTGTGATGGGCTCCTACCTATTTTAGGACTAGAAAGGACTGATTAGATCATTTGCTCTGGCAGTTGGCTTTTAGGAAGGTGAATGTGTAAGCCTTTGAACTGTTCGGCATTGAAAGATTTATGGATCTCTTAGGCAGTTATATCACCATTTGAATAGTAGGTGATAGATAGATAGATAGATAGATAGATAGATATAGATATAGATATCTGATCTTTAAAGGACCAGGATTGTAGAATAATGTTAGCTAGGTATGTAAATTATGTTGTGTTTGGATGTATTTTGTTTTTGGATGTAAGGGACAGAACAAGTACATGGATCAATTTTCTTCATCCTATAAATTTGGTAAAACAGAAACAATATGATGTTTATTTCTTATTTTGTATTTGTATAAAAAATGTAAGTGTTGGGGATCATTGTCTCTTATGGTACCTCACAACCCATCACTTTATATCCTACCTTCAATGATATAGGTAAAAGGTATATTTTTTAAACCAGATTTTACAAATTTCCATTAAAATGTTGAATTTTTAGTTTTTATAAAACTAAAATTTTGAGTAAAGAACAAAAAGGAACAGAAAATAGTGAAGAAACAGAAATAGAGAACGAACTTCCTAGGACTTTTTAAGCAAAATGAATATTCAGGCTAATAGTTCTATTTATTTCCTAGAAGTAGTACACAGTCTAGTTTTTCTTTTATACATTTTCTTGATTTTAGGGTATAAAATTAAAAAAAATTCTGAAGAATTTCTTTCTGTGCTCTTTGAGGTTTTGCATTTTTATCTGGTGTTTGTGTAAAATTAATTCAACTTAATTATGGGAGGGGTTTAAAACAAATGATACTCTTTCTAAGCTGGGACAAGTTATTTTCCTTAGTCACTATAGGAACAAAGAAGGAATGAGTGGCAGAGTAGAATTGCTTTTGTTGAGCATGAGCTCTGATATCTTGGCTGTACTGTTCATTTACACATTACAAATATTTTCTTAGATTCTAAGTAAATGTTACCCCCTGCCCCCGAACCTTGCTTCTACTATTTTAAATTCTTTCTGCTAGCTGCTTCTTTCTGAACCCTAACACAGGGGTCCTTAACCCCTGGGCCACAGACCGATACCGATATCAGGAACTGGACGTACAGCATGAAGCAAGTGGTGGGCGAATGAAGGCAGCTTCATCTGTATTGACAGCTGCCCCCACATTGCTCACATGACCACCTGGGCTCCGCCTCCTGTCAGCTCAGTGGTGGCATTAGATTCTCATAGGAGTGTGAACCCTATTGTGAACTGTGCATGTGAGGGATCTAGGTTGTGCTGTCCTTAAGAGAATCTAGTGCCTGATGATCTGTCACTGTGTCCCATCACCCCCAGATGGGACCATCTAGTTTCAGGAAAACAAGTTCAGGGTTCCCACTGATTCTACATTATGGTAAGTTGTATAATTATTTCATTATATATTACAATGTAATAATAATAGAAATCAAGTGCACAATAAATGTAGTGCACTTGGATCATCCTGAAACCATCCCCATGCCCCTGGTCCATGGAAAAATTGTCTTCCATGAAACCGGTCTCTGGTGCCAAAATAGTTGGGGACTGCTGCCCTAACACATGTAGGGTAAGTGGGATTTCACATACAGGTATAAAGATAACATTTTCATTTTAGGAATATATTTTTCCATATAATAATAGGAAAATTGTGTATCAATGAAGTTTTGGAATGGTTTGAGACTCTCTATGTAAGACAGTGAGTCCAACTGAAAGGAAGCATGGTGTCCGTTGAATGAATTTTGCTTCTTATCAATTCCTGCAAAGTTCTGATGATATCACATTTGTAGAAATGAGAGCAAAGATACAAACAAACAAAACAAAACAACAAAATACTACTTGTCACTTTTGAGGAGAAATTGAATTGTTTCTATACATCTTACTTTCCCTTCATTATGGTTTTTCTTTCTTTCTTTTTTTTTTTTTGAGAGGTGGAGTCTTGCTCTGTTGCCCAGGCTGGAGTTCAGTGGCACAATCTCAGCTCACTGCAACTTCCTCCTCCTGGGTTCAAGTGATTCTCCTGCCTCAGCCTCCTGAGTAGCTGAGACTATAGGCATGTGCCACCACGCCTGGCTAATTTTCGCATTTTTATTGGAGACAGGGTCTTACAGTGTTGGCCAGGCTGGTCTCGAACTCCTTGCCTCAGGGGATCCACCCCCCTTGGCCTCCCAAAGTGCTGGGATTACAGGCGTGAGCCACTGCACCCGGCCTCATTATGTGTTTTGATGAATCTGTTAATTTATGCTCCAACTTAAATATTCATATTTACTTTTCTCTTCAAGTGTTTTCACCATTGTTGACTATATTTAACTGATATATGAAGCTAGATTTAAGTTATATCTAACATTTTGCAAAGTATGCTTGAAGCAGAATGGAGTTATTGTATAACTATACATAAGCAGAAGTTCTATTTGCAGATTCACAGATGCAATTATGAAGTTAAGTCAGGGATAGTTGAGTTGAAACAAACTTTTTCACTATAGTTTTGCTTCCTCATGTAGCCATTTTATTTTTTTTTACAAATTAATCTAAATCTCTAGACTTTCATTTTTCTATATCCTATATTCATAAATTACTAAAGGTTTTAAAGTAATAGAATAGGTTAAAATAGCTGCATACTCTTCTTAGAATTTTGCATAAAACTAATCTTCACAATCTATTTTTCTGAACATCTGTATGCTTTTCGTATTTAATTTATTGTTTAAAGAATTTTTGCGGTTTCTCTTGTGTTTAGAGTTACGTAAACAGCATTTGCATTAGATTCAGTGGTAATATACAGTTGCATTATAATATACTTACTATAAAAAGTAAAAATTATTCATGATTTTTTTGCTGGTAAGTTTGAGTTTTTAACGTAAATTAAGTTGCCTTAATTTCATAAATTTCAGTGCAATTTCTTAGCATTTTTATTGAAGTGAAGAAGCTATGTAGTCATTGTGCCTTATTTTTAAATTGCTCTGGTACTTTCAGTAGGGAATATTATTAACATGAACCCCATTTCATTACTTTTTAAATGTCCTTCTAGTTGCCCTAAATGTATTGTAAGTACCTGGAGATTTTATGTCTCAAGCCTTCTTTTTATCAGTGTGGATGTATAATCTCCATAAATGTCAATTGGTAATGATGATGAGCCATTAAAATTAATAGCTTATTTGCTAAATTTGATGCTTTTAAGTCTAGGATTCGATTTTACATGATTAGACCTATAAATACATTTTATTATTACAAATTTATTTGTGTCCATTCTTTGGAATAATCATTCTGAGAAGTTTCTTTGGGATAAGTTTTCATTAATTTTGATGAAATTTGTGGTGTTTTTGAAACAGCCACTTTAATATTATTGTGACATATTTAAAGGAAAGCACATGGATTTCTGGAAACCAGAATTTTAAACAAGATAATATAATTACATCTTT
Organism: Homo sapiens; assembly: GCF_000001405.40. Lineage (NCBI taxonomy): Eukaryota > Metazoa > Chordata > Mammalia > Primates > Hominidae > Homo > Homo sapiens. The sequence continues at coordinate 105,817,998 of NC_000003.12, read as the reverse complement.
TGGGAAAAAAATTGTTTATTTTCACTAGTGTGTTTTATTCCAGGAAGCAAGTTTCATCATCATGATTTAAAATAATAAATTGAAAGACATAAAACTTAATAATGCAAATTAGCTTTTGTTGGTTGTGATGATGTACTTTGCTTTACGTGTATTTATATAACACCTCGGATACCCAAAATATTTATTAAATACCAGCATCTTTCTCACATTAACCTGAAAACTTACAGTAGTCACTTTTCTGCTTGCCTTTATTGCCAGACTAGTGGCATACACAACTGTCTTTTCTTACAACTAATGCCTTCAGTTATTTCTTAGATATGAGCTTTGGTATGTTACAGTTTTCAGAACTTGCTCAAGTAAGGCCTCATTCGGCCTCATTGTTCAACTCAGTGGCTTGGGCTCTGTTGCATCTCCCGATAGTTTTTTAGAATATTCACTACTCTAGTTTTCAGTGACATCGTCTGTCTTGGTTCTTCTGAACTACTTAATGTGCATTCCTCTTGTAGGGTTCTCATCCTCCTAAATGCCGGTATTCTCCAAGGCTGCTTCTTTTAGTGTCCTCAAGCTTCAAGTCACCCATGGCTACTCATCCTTTTCTTCTATTTACCATCTTCAGTTAGTCCCAAGTCCTAGAATCTCCTCTCCCTTAAAAATAATCTTTGCTGCTCCTCCTTGTCCCCTGTTCTTGCAACTGTGTTATTTCATCCTTCCCTTACTCATGATAAGATTACTGATAATGGCTGGCCTTCTAATATCTTGCTCCCCAATGTGCTAAAGCTAGAGAAGTCTTTAACACTTTAATCCTCTTCTGGGCATTTGCTTTTCTTGCAAAAGATTAATTATCTTCTTTTTAATCTGGTTTATTTTACATATGCCGTCTTATTTCTCACTACTACGGACTTGTCTTCTTCTCATTTTCATGCCTTCATAATTCTAAAAACATGTCATGCTAATTCTCCCACTCATCTGGAATCCTACACACCCAGTTCCTGTCCCAGCTCTTCCATAAGCCTTTAGACCTTGCTGATTTCTCCTTTTGCTGAACCTGTCTTCACTTTTAATAGCATGCATACTGATGTATATATATCAAAAACCCTTTTTTTTTTAAACATTACTTAGAATTGTGGTGGAGTTGTCACTAAAGATTAAAAGTAGGTTCCATTAATAAGAGACCATATACTTTTTGGTATCCACCGCAGCAGTGCTGGGCCCATATTTTGGTGCTCAGTAAAGTTGATGATTGATTTAATTGATTAAATAGGTGATACTTCAACTTTCAAATAGAGACTTTGTTTTTAAAAAGTACTTAGCTTTATATTAGTTGAACAGCTGTGTACATGAACATGTAAAGTAGAACTTACTTTATGCACTATTTACTCCTGTAGTTCTAAAAATACTGCATTTTGCTTCTCTTTTTTTGTAAACTACTTTCTGGAGTGCTTTTATTATTTAAAAATGTACTTCTTATCATAGGGATTAGTGAGAAGTATTTATGAGAGTTCTGTTAATGTACCTGTAACCTTAGGTATACCCAGGAGCTTAACATTGCAAAAATCAAGCTTTTGAAGAAAGAATAGCTTAAGTGCTAAATTTGAAATTGCCTGCTTAGTAGTTTTCTAAATGGTTTAGAAAAAATTAGTTGACACGTTTGTTTCAAGTGATTTTGGAGCAGCCAATTTGTTCGTTTTTTAAAATTAATAAGGGCAGTCAATTTACTAATTTTTACTAATTTCATGGTTTTGCAAAGAGAAAAACAAGATCAGATGACATCATGCAATTTTTTTTTTCTTTTTTAAAAAATATACTAAGTTCTGGGATACATGTTCAGAATGTGCAGGTTTGTTACATAGGTATGCATGTGCCATGATGGTTAACTGCACCCATCAACCCATCATCTACATTAGATATTTCTCCTAATGCTATCCCTCCCCTTGCCCCCTACCTCCCGACAGGCCCCAGTGTGTGATGTTCCCCTCCCTGTGCCCATATGTTCTCATTGTTCAACTCCCACTTATGAGCGAGAACATGCGGTATTTGGTTTTTTGCTTTTCTCTTCCTGTGTTAGTTTGCTGAGAATGATGGTTTCCAGCTTCACCCATGTCCCTGCAAAGGACATGAACTCATTCTTTTTTATGGCTGCATAGTATTCCATGGTGTATATGTGCCACATTTTCTTTATCTAGTCTAACATTGATGGGCATTTGGGTTGGTTCCAAGTCTTTGCCATTGTGAATAGTGCTGCAATAAACATGTGTGCATGTGTCTTTATAGTAGAATGATTTATAATCCTTTGGGTATATACCCAGTAATGGGATTATGGGGTCAAATGGTATTTCTGGTTCTATATCCTTGAGGAATCGCCACACTGTCTTCCACAATGGCTGAACTAATTCACACTCCCACCAACAGTGTGTAAGCATTCCTATTTTTCCACATCGTCTCCAGCATCTGTTTTTTCCTGACTTTTTAGTGATCACCATTCTAACTGGCGTGAGATGGTATGTCATTGTGGTTTTGATTTGCATTTCTCTAATGGCCAGTGATACATCATGAAATTTCTTTCAGTTTCATTGGAACTGATAGAAATTGTCATTGATATTCCATTGTAATATAAAGCCATTAACAGCCTTTCTTCCTGTGTTTTTTGCTAATCATCCTTTGAACAGAACGGATGCTTTTGTCTTTCCTTTCACTACTACATTCTAAAAGAACAAAGATATTTTTATCATTCATTCAATAAAGAGTAGGTACCTACAGGTGTACAAAGCATTTTTTGTAGATTTAAATCTCAATCTGCACTGAAGGAGTTCTTAAATTAGGGCAATAATGTAGGTTTACAAAAGACAGTATGATTTTGCATGAAAATGCACTGGGAAGTGCTTTCATAGATGTATAAACACATTCTGAAGAGAGAGAATTTCTTATGCCTGACAGGGCTAATTACAGATAATTTTGTGAAGGAGCTAGCATTTGAATTCATCTTCGGAAGCAGTTGGGATATTAGTGGCTAAGGATGGAAGTGGAGAGACTGTACTGTGTGAGACACAGGGGCAGGAGATACAGGGTGTGTGGCATTAGAGGGTGGGGGGTGGGTACAAAATTTGGCTCTGGAGATAAGTGGGACCATATCTGGGAGGTGACTGAATCTTAGACTATGGATTTTCTTCTCATATTCATTGGACATGAGGGATAATTGAAGAGAATTTTCATGACCAGAGGTGTGTTTATGAAAATTTGTCAGCACTGTTGAGTATAAATTGGAGCATCATGAAATTGGTAATGAGGACGGTCCTAAACAAGACGTTGTAGTAGTATAAGTAAGAAATAATTGAAGCCTAAACTGAAGATAATGGCAGTAGGAATGGCAGTAGGCAAAAGAAGGAATGGACACAAGAGTGATTTCAAGAGACTCAGCATAACTTGCTGCCATATTCATTTATATTTCCATGAATCCTTTTTGTCATTCCTTAAGTACATATTGTACATGTACGCTATTTTCCTTCAATATATTCAGTGGTGGAAGTTAATTGATTAAACAATTTTAGTTTTGTAGCATCAAAGTCTGTTTACTCTTGTGACAAATAACTGAGTTCAGGTTTGTTACAGAATTTAAAAGAGTTAAATATACCATTTGCATAAACAAAACAAAAGGGAATCAACAGTCTCAGTAATACTGATTAATGATTTAGGTATATTGATAAATCCTCTTATCTGGGTTCTATGTTGTTAGTTTTATTTTCCGTCACATTTTGTTTTTCTTATCTCTGATGCACGTATAAACATAAAGCACACAAAAGCTTTAGTTGGGAGAATTTAATTCTTTCTGAAATTCTATTCGGATTTTGAGTCTCACTCTTTGATTTCTCAAGTTCTGAGTCATGAGTGTTTGGGCATAAAAACCTGATGATCTTTTTTTAAATTTTCATTAGAAAGAATTAAACAAGCAAACAATCAGAATTGCTTAATTGAACTACATTTGAAACCAAATTATAGAGGTAGTTATAATTTTATCAACTTTTTCTGTCCTACGATCTTTCTTATTAGACAAGTCTGATAGGCTTTGTAAGCAGTATATATGACAGGTTTTCATTGAAATGCTGCCAGTGTTGAAGAGGAGAAAAGCTGATTTTCCAGAAGTGAGAAAGACAAGGAAACAGTCACAATTTTTTAAGATTAGTTGAGGAATACCACACTTGGCTTCTTGTTATTGAAGTTTTTTGGTGTAGGTCTAACAATAAAAATCTTGTAATATTGGTTCCATATGTATAGCTGCTTACTTGTTTCATGTAATACTTTCATCACAAAAAATATATATCTAATATTTCTGTGATAAATTATAAATACAGTATTGGTTTTGGTCCTTGGAGGAATAACCTTACAAACCTTTAAAGACTTTTAATTTTAATTTTTATTTTCTTTCCAGCTTTATTGAAGTATAATTGACAACTGAAAGACTAGTTGGTAATTGAAATTAGGACTCATTTTTATAGTCAGACAATGTTAATATTTAGGAGGAGAAATGATGATTTATTAATAACTTTACTCAAAATACCATTGCATAAAAATTATACATATAATAAAGTGATTAAGGGGCACCCACTTTTTATTTACTAATAACTTAGAATATTCAGTAACTATTGTTTGTAAAATGAATTTTCTTTTATCCCCATGTCTGTCATTCTCCATTCTTAAAATATTTTCCTCTGTGAAACAAGCCAGCAGGGATAAGCCCCATGTTTTGTTTGATCTAGTTAATTTGACTTCCTTCTGTTTGCAATGTGTTATTATAAGGTGAAATATTTTCTGGAGTTGTTTCTTAATCATTTTATTACTCTTCCTTCTTGTAGGGAAATGGCGTGCCATTGTTTCCTTCTTTTGTTTGCTAAGTTACCTGAATTTTATCTAAGCCATAGTTTAGGTGGGTTAGCTTTAATAGTATTTGAAATACTGCTTTTGAATTAACATACTGCTTGTTTACTTTATCCTTTAAAATGTACTTTACCATTTAATTCTTTTAGTAGCACTGAGACATAAATAGGGCTGAGGATGATTTTATTTACATTTCCTAGATAAGAAAATTGATAGACTATCAGTTTAAGTAACGGCCTAAGATGACTAAGTTGAAATGAGAAATTAGGACTGACATTAAGATATTGATTTTATTTCAAACAGCATTCAAGAAGAAGGTTAGTAGTTATTTTAGATAAAATTAATATAGAAATAGGAAGCACAAAGAATAAGCACCCCACATTTCTGATAGATACCACATCTAAATATCACCTATAAGATCTTCCTGAGTCTAGCCCTTCTTACTTTTGTATCTTCATCTCACAGGGTTTCCCTTGTTTCTTTGCTGCATCCATGCTGACTCTTTTTTCCAGTCCCTTTGCAATTGCTCTGCCTCCTTTTAAAACAAAACTTTTGCCCTTGCTCATTTCTACTTGGAGCTGTCATTTCTTCCTCTTAGCATCAATAACTCCATTTTGCTGTTTAGATCGTATCTTCCTCAGAAAAGATGTTCCAGACTTCACTAAGTCAAATTCCTTTGCATAGCTCTTGGCACAGTTGTGGTGTTACTTTTGTGTGCATGTTAGTTTTATTCCTTCCTTTATCCCACTGATCTGAGTTTACAGATCAGTGGGATGTGACTGGTCTGTTTTTATTCATTCTTGTGCCCTAGGTGACTAATAGCATAGCCATTGAGACATAGTAGGTGCTCAGTAAATATTTGTTGGATGAGTGTTTAGGTTTAAGAAAGTATCTTTGCAAACATTTGCAGCATTATCTTTTAATATTTATAGCTAGCCAGTCATATATGCCAATTTCTGCATCTACCTATTTGTCCTCTTTAACTGTATATGCCATTAGCAGCAAAGCAGTAATATGGATATTACTGGCAGGTTTAAGTCATTGACAGGTAAGTTAAAACAACAAACAAACAAGAAGGGAAGGGAGACCAAGTATTTAAAAAAACAAAACAAAAAAAAAGGAAATGGGGCCAGGTGCGGTGGCTCATGCCTGTAATCCTAGCACTTTGGGAGGGCAAGGTGGCAGATCACCTGAGATCAGGAGTTCAAGACCAGCCTGGTCAACATGGTGAAACCTCGTCTCTACTAAAAATACAAAAATTAGCCAGTGGCAGGCGCCTGTAATCCCAGCTACTTGGGAGGCTGAGGCAGAAGAATCACTTGAACCTGGGAGGTGGAGGTTGCTGTGAGCCGGGTTCGTGCCGTTGCACTCCAGCCCGGAGAACAAGAGTGAAACTCCGTCTCAAAAAAAAAAAAGGAAGTAATTTTCGTAGGGTTGTAGAATTACAGAACTTGATGGAATACTGGGGTTTATCTAGGGAAATCTGTCTGTCTCTCTTTTAAAGCTTTTTATTTTGAAACTTTACCCAGTTTGCCTCAGTGTTAACGTCTGTAGCACAATATCAATAGTAGGAAATTGACATTACTGTCATCCACAGAGCTCATTCATATTTCTCTAGTTATGCATGCATTGATTTGAGAGTGTATGTGTGTGTGTAGGCCAGTCATTTTTAAGATAATAGAAGTTTATAAACTTGTTTCCGTGACTTACTCAAAGCCACCAGGCCATGAGGTGAAATAATTGGTTTTTAAACTCTATATTGCTGTCTGCCCAACAGCCATGAATTCTGTCATAAAATTCTACAGATATCAGGGATTGTTCATTAGCATTAGTGCCAGATTTAGACTAATCCTACAATATTGAAAGATACTAACTATACCTTTTAGCTAACTGTGTTTATAATGACTCAAAAAATTTAGTTCTATCAACTTGGATCTATGTCAAAAATTAGAATTAAAATCCTACTTTTGTTTTTGCCCAGCAGGACTTCTCTACTATTCAGGGAAAGGCCTAATTAAGGTTTCCTGAAAAATACTCTTTAATCACTTGGATTAGAATAAAAAAGAAATGCTTTTAATCACATACATATCTGCTAATGCTTTTCTTCTAGTATCTAATGGCTTTGATAATAAAAAGTAGTAATAAAACTGGAGAACTAATGGATTTTAAACATGTTTCTATACTGTACATATTATAAAATATGTATACTTAGTGCATTAAGTAGTATCTTAAACTTATACCTATGAAGTACTTACGGTCTAAAATTGATCAGGAGGCAACCTTACTTAGTATTTCCTGGAAGTAGCAGGCATTTACTCCTAACAAGAAGTACAAAGAAATTAATATAGAGTTTGATTCAGCGTTGGAGTCTGATTTTTAAAAATCAAACTAATTTCTGTCTTGCAAATAATTATATGTAATATTTCCTACTTTTTATAATTATAGAAACATGACAGAACTATAAATTATTTTCTGAATCTATGGAATATTATTGATTTGGTCAGTAAGTTATCTATCATTGGACATAAACAGAAGAGTATATAGGTTTCCTTTGATTTTTTATTTTGAGGTTTAGAATTAAAGTCTTATGAAGTTTAGCTATTTCTTCGCTAAATGCTTTAAGTTATACCCGTGCAAAAACCTCTGATTTGTTTTTGTAATTTCACTAAAATAGGCTAGTTGGTGAGCTGTGGTGTATGTCTTAGGAATTTAAAATAAAAATAAATATTAAACTGCTTAAGTGAATCTGGTTCACACACACAAAAAATCCAGGTATTTTAATTTTTTACCAGGACATTTTTTTAAAAAGATTTTGGGCCAAGAAACTTATTTTAGTAACAGCATGCTATAGTAAATGCAATTGGAAATGTAAGTAATTAATTTTATTGAATAAAATAAGAGCAAAACATTTCCCAATAGAAAATCTCTTTGAATTGGCACTATTTCCAGCCCAATTGATTTTTAAACAGGTATAAATTCATAGCAGAACCAGCTTAACTTAATTTGTAGAGCTCCTATCAAGCAGGTCTCAGGGTGTACACGTTCTGTCTTTGGTGGAAGTGTTAGTTTATATTTCATCTTGAAGCCAGTGGACATTTTAAAGTTTCTTTTTTTCTTCTGATGTTTACAAATATGTTTCTTTAGTAATTTTAGGCTTGCTAGTTTGCTATGCTAGCTTATATTTTGTTATTAGGGAGTGCTGATTCCCTGTTTCTAAATGTCCCATCTTTTTTTCTCACTGAATTTCTTCACTTCAGAAACATGATAATGGGACATTAAAATCACATATGTAGTTTACCATTGCTTTATTGTTATTATAGGTATTATTAAACAGTGTACATGACCTTTCCCCCATCTGATCCCTCGTCTGTTTGAGAAAGTAGATAACCAACCAGGATTTGTAAAGGAAAACAATAAGAACAGTGTTTGGCAGCTTGCTGGGGCAGCTTGGGGTTTATACATATTTCTTTCTCTCAGACTTTGAGTTTATGACTCCACCAATCATAAAAAAGAGTAAGCATAAAGCAGATCTTTTAGTAGATATTCTGGGATTAAAAACAAATCCAAGATGGTAATGAGGTTATTGTTTTGCTTGTGATTCTTGGTAGACTGTATGTATGTTTAAAAAATAAGTCTCAAGGTGCTGTTTGTAGACTCATGAGTGGCTGGCTCTGTGATGGGAGCATCTACTGAGCTGGTAGTATAGCCTCCTGCTAATCATCTGCCAGCTTCTAAGCTGCTCAAGGAGTTAAATGACTGTTGATACAATTTTTAAGGAGTGGAATTCCGTTCTTGTCATTCAGTCTATGTTAATAATCTCCTATGATGAAACTCAAGTGTTGGGTATGTTTGTTTCCTGAGCTCCTCATAGACAGAATATGTGTTTATATACATAATACTTTTTAAACTACTTCTGATGTTATTATAACAAGGTTGAGTATAATAAAACCAAAGTTATGTTTTAAGATTTGCTTTATGTGTGTATTTGTCTGCTTCTATCTGTTTCTCCGTTGCATTGGTTTATCCAGATATCTTTCTATACATTCACTGCTGTGTCACTGTTGCCCAGATGGGTGCGTGCAGGTAGCTGAACTCAATAAATATGAGCTAAGTGAATGAATGAATGTTCCTAAATGGTGGGTTATTTTGTCTTTTGAGCAGCTGACAGTGATTCTGATCTTACAATCTAAAAGCTACAATTAAGTTAAATAATACATAGTTTTAGGAATTTTTCTTAATTTATTTTCAGTGCTCCTATTTTTGAATATACTCTTGCATTTTTCCTAAAGTGATATTTAAAAACTGTTACAGGAAAGCATTTTTATCAGTTATTTCTATAACTGGTTTCTATAAATCAACCAAATAAACAATGAATACTTATTTTTTTGAAATATATGCAATGAATAATACCTATTAATGCTATTCTCTTCTTCAGTGTACTTTAACCTGAATGCATATTTCTGTTGGTGGCTCAAATAGTGAGATTTAAGTCATAGATTTTGTTATCTACAAGGAACAGTTATTATATGTTTACCATTTGCAAAACAAAAGAAATATGAAATATGACTCCTGCCTTCAAGAAACTTAAGAATATAGTTGGATAAATATAGTGTAATGACATAAGACAGCTTAGTATACAGCATGAAACTGGCATAAAGTTTATATTATGAAAACACAGATCTTGTCCTGATGGAATTTCAGGTGAATGAGTACTTGGACAACTTACCTGTAAAATAAAGACTACAAAACAAATACACAGACAGGTCCTTAGAGAAACACATATTACTAAAGATGTGGGACAGGAATAGTTTAAAGATCTTTTATAAGTTTTTGTATTAAGCTAAAGATTTTTAAAAATAAATTTTCTTCTTTAAAGTTTGTAGGTATTTTAAGAAAACATCATTTTATATGAAAAATGGCTTTGTAGAAGGTTGGAAAGTTAACTTAATATTTTCTTTTAAAATTTATATGGAAGATACTTTTCATCTTGGTTTTATAAGGCTCAGTTGAAGACAAGTGTTAGCACTGAAGCTTAAATAGTTAAGCTGGCCAAACAGCCAAAGGATGAAGAATATTTTTTAGGAAAAGTTCTGTGAACTTAGGTTCCTTATTGGTGGCTTGTTTTCTAATTTTATAACATAGAGTGGTTACATATTTGTTACCTACACAATGATAGTGTAATGACTGAGCACTCACTGACGCATCAAGGGATCCCAATTCTAGTCTTGATTCTATTTCCAACTAGTTGTATCATGCAAGTCCTCTGAGTTCCTTTACTTATCTAATAATTCATGGAGTTACACCACAGTATGTCTAAGGTCCTTTCCAGCTCTATGCTGATATATACGATTCTACTTCAAAAGAAGTTATTCCGAATAACCTTTGCACAAACTCACAGTATAGTCTTGAGAAGGATCTCAGTTTTGTTTTGCTTTTTTTTCTTTAAAGCAAATAAGGACTTTTAAAAATAAATTCTCATTATGTTTTGTGCCATATATAATTACATATATAATTATAAAATGTATATAAAAATGTATGATTATATCCAACTATGATGAAATTATGTTTTTCCATTAAATTATATGTGTTTCTCTGAACATAGGATTTTACTTCACAAATAAGACTATGTATTGAACTGTTAAAAGGGCTCACTGGACACATACCAGATTCTCAGGATTCTTTTCAAGATTATATTGCTAGTTAGTGCAATAATATCACTGGTAATGCAGAATATCTCTACCTACGAGGTCTGGACATGTTGCCCAACCTGTTCACGAACGCCTGGGCTCAGGTGATCCTCCCATCTTGGCCTCCAGAAATGCTGGGATTACAGGTGTGAGTCACTGTGTCCGGCCATATCACAGTTTTTTGAGGAAAAGTAGAATCTTTAAGAAAATAAGTGACTAATCTTTCTCAAAAATTTAATCTGGTAAAATTTATTTAGGTGACATTTGAATGTATTAGCAGAAATTTACTTGAAAAGTTAAAGTTTCCTTTCATATAATGGTATTCTATTGGATGTATGTATGATGTACTGTTCAACGTACTAATTGACTTAAATGTTTAGTTTGGTGTTACTCAAAATTAACTTATTGCTATAGTTAGATAGCGGTGAGTGGGCCTAAAAGAGCTTGTTCGTGTCCCTGTGCAGCTCAATAACAGTAGTCTAGCAATTCATATGGTTCCATTTTTAGTTTTGTAACAAAAATGAATTGCTTAAAAAATTTTTTTAAGTTTTGGAAGCAACAATGAATGTTTTACACAAATCAGCCTCAATTAAATTTCTTTAATTCTGGTAAATTAAGATTTAGTTTTCTAAGTATTCCATATTATTGACCAGTATTTTAACAGTTTTCGGATATTTTTGCCATATCTCCTTTTTGTGCATTTCTATCCATCAATTTGCCACTGAAAATTAAAAGTAACCTGTTGCAGGGTAGTATTTCAATGAAAAAAAATTAAAAGTAACTTGGTATGACATGCCTACTTCCCATGGCATGTCTGTGTTCTTTGAGTTGGTTTTCAGCCAGCTATTTGGCAAAGCTTACTGGGGGGTTATGACTCATCATATCTTTGTGACCTTTAAAAAGAATATCCACTTGCTGTAACAGATAGGGATCTCACACAATTTCTGTTTTTTTTTTTTTTTTGAGGTTTTAGTATTAGGTCACAAACCCATATAAATAGTTACCACTTCTATTTTTGTTTTGAAGTGGAGTTTTATGAATATTTGAGAATATAGACAGCTTCCCATTGAGGATTGTATTCCTCGTCCAGAGGTTTCATTTCAGTGGTAAATACGGTTAAGTTTGTTACAAGGTATTTACATGAGTATGTACAGAAGTGTATTCATTTATGCATTAATTCAACACATACTATATGTAATGACGTCTTAAAGTGAGAATTAAAAATCTCTCTGAATTTCTGAGTTTTTAAACCCAGAATCAATTTCATTCACATTGTTCTTTCTTGAGCAAAATGTCATTTTAAAGTGAGAATTAAAAATCCCACTGAATTTCTGAGTTTTTAAACCCAGAATCAATTTCATTCATCTTGTTCTTTCTTTAGCAAACTTTTCTTCTGTAGAGTTCCCCATATGTAGACCATGGGAGGAATAGGCACTGTGGGAACATAGTGGTTTATGTGACTGGCTTCCTATCCTTAAGAGTAATTTTTTTCTGTTTTTTTTTTTTTTCTTTCCCTTTTCTCCCTCCCTCTCTTTCATTCTTTCATTCTTATTTCTTAAGAATCATGCAGTGGAGATACGTGAATATAATTCAAGGTAATAAAAGAATTAATGTCCTACTACTGATGGTGGCAAAGTGGTATGCGGCTTCAGAGAATAGAGTGATTAATTCCAATTTCGGGGACTGGAGATAGTTTCACTAGGAGATGAATGGATTTTGATAAACACCCATGTGAGGGAAGGCTCTTGCAGCCTGAAGCCGTAAGACATGTAAAGGGTTTTTAATGAACCTGGCAGTTGAGGGAATAAAATATAGTAGTATAAGAATTTGAGTCATCGGCTGGGTGGGGTGGCTCATGCCTGTAATCCCAGCACTTTGCGAGGCCAAGGCAGGCAGATTGCTTGAGGCTAGCAGTTTGAGACCAGCCTGGGCAACATGGCAAAACCCCGTCTCTACTAAACATACAAAAAATTAGCTGAGTGTGATGGCACATGCCTGTAATCCCAACTATTTGGGAAGCTGAGGCACAGGAATCGCTTGAACCTGGAAGGCAGAGGTTGCAGTGAGCTGAGATCATGCCACTGGGCATCCCAGCCTGGGTGACAGGGTGAGACTCCCTCTCAAAAAAAAAAAAAAAAAATTGGGGGCCATATGTTTTGAGGAGAGATGTAATAAGAAATGTGGCTGGGATTTTCTCGTTTGGCCTGGAGAGAATGAATGTCATGCTCAGAAATGCGAACTTTATAAAAATTAGGGTACCATTGGCATTTATTTCAGGAGGTAAATGAAGTGATCTGACCTGTGCTTTAGAAAGATGATGGTGGCAGAGTATGGAAAATGTGTTAAAGGTGATAGATTGGAAGCAGTGGAACCAATAGGTGGCCATGGGCTATTGTTTGGATAAGTGATGGTAAGGGCCTGACCTCTCAAACAGCAACTACTGTGGTGGTGGGTATGGAAGTTACCATGCAGTGAAGAAGAGGAACTGATAAATATAATGTTGCTTACTTTTTTTAGATGGTTGGTATGGAGGGTATTAGAGATGGGATACTCTCCCACTGTGGAGTAAGGATAAAGGAAGGCTGTTCTACTATAGGGGAATATATAAATGAATTCAAGGATCCTTAAAGATCCTTGAAAATAAAGAGGAGGTAAAAACTAAAGAGAAATAGAAACAAAGAATGGATATAACAGATGTTGGGAGCTGGTGAACTTTAAGGACAACAGTATCCAACAGAAGTATCATGTAAGTACAGGTAATTTTAAATTATCTAGTAGCTATGTTAATATTAACATAAAAATAAGCAAATATAATGAATTTTAACAATCTATTTTATGTAACCTAAAATATTTAAAATATTATGTCAGGATGTATTCATTATAACAAATTCTTAATGAGATATTTTACATTTTTTTTTTTTTGAGACAGAGTCTTGCTCTGTCACCCAGGCTGGAGTGCAGTGGAGCGATCTTGGCTCACTGCAACCTCCACCTCCCAGGTTCAGGCGATTCTCACACCCTAGCCTCCCTAGTAGCTAAGATCACAGGCGCCTGCCACCACGCCTGGCCAGTTTTTTTGTATTTTTGGTAGAGACGGTGTTTCACCATCTTGCCCAGGTTGGTCTTGAACTCCTGGCCTTGTGATCCACCCGCCTCAGCCTCCCAAAGTGCTGGGACCACAGGCATGAGCCACCACGCCCGGCTTTACATTTTTTTAAACTATTTGAAATTCAGTGTGTATCCGCATTTATAGCCTATTTCAATTTAGAGCAACCACATTTGAAGTGCAGAGTAGCACACATCCTGAGTGACCACCATTTGGGCATTTGAGATTTAAGAAGTCAACTTTTTAAAGTCCTCTATGATTTTTATGTGTATATTAAAAATGTTGAAGCTAGGCAGTTTAAGTGTGCAGTCAGAGTGCCATGTGAGAACTAACTTCATAAAGTTGTAGCCTAAGAGAAAAGCACACAGACTCCTGAGTGAACAGAAGAAACTTACTCTCGACATTACCCTAAAAATCACTCCTGTAATTGAGTGTCTTGTTATTTTCATGAACTGTTTCCAGTTGACAGTATTATTAAGTCAGCAATGTATTTTTGAGGGGAAAATGTAACTTAAAAATTATAGTGAAAAGATAAGTGACCCCTTCAAGTAGTATAACAAATTTAAGTTCATTCTATTATCTTTAAGAATGTGTACCCGGCTTTATTAACTTTGTTATATTAATCAACTTCCAAATTATTTTGATTTTCTACTAAGAATGGACTGTCTCCTTACTCCCACCCCCAGTTAGAATTTTGGAACAAATAATTAAAACTATTACTTCATAGATTTCGAGGATAGAGAGTGGGGCTCAAGTGAGCCACAACTCCCTGTGCCTTACCTGACTTTCGACTTGAGAATGGTGGAAGTTATAAACATTGCTTTGAGTTAGGCTTCTTTTTACTGACTTTTGAATCATGAGGAGGTAGGTGGTCCACTCCATGAAAATGAACTCTGAACGTCTTTATGCTACCCTTGACACTTTGAAAGGAGCCGTATTTAATAGGAAATAGCACTTACGGAGGAGAATCTGAGACATGCAAGCCGCCATACAAAGATAAATCAACAGGGGCTTGAAAAATAAATTGCAGGCCTCATAAATTCACAGCCTCTCTTCTAAAATACTAAGCCTAAAGAAATAAGTAGAAGTTCCATAATTATTCTACAAATTGTGTATTCTGAATCTCTTGGGTAATTATCACAACTAAAAATTACGTATTACAATAATCACAACCAGCAAATTACCTGAAATTGCTTGCTCAGTGAATATCTTTCAGTAACCAAAATTTGTACATAAAATGACTATGCATGAGTGCTATTTATAATGAGCACTTGTTAATATTGGCTGTGTAAAGACTTCTCCGATTTCTCTAATTTAATTTTCATCAACACTACGGGTTTAAATAGTACCTGCTTCAGTATCTAAGCAAAGGGGTTTTATTTTTAGAATAAAGCAGTTAAATTACACTGGTGTAATGGAACACTGTATCAAAATATATACATATATGTGTATAAATTCTAAGAAAATACTATTTAATTCATATGTTAATCCCTTTGCTAACTTCATTACAATTTTTTCCATTAAATGAAAATTAAGTGTCTTCTAAATGTTTTATGGAGTTCAAATTAAGTAGTTGAATCCACTGATGACTATAAAATGTGTGAGCTGCTTCAATAGTTGTATCCTGAAGTACAGATTGAAGGTGTGTCTAGATGGAGCCAGCTGTACATCTTCCTCTTCTAAGCTTCTCTCCCAAAACATAGGGGCAAGTAAATGATTTTTATAGGTAGATGCTTTTAGGATTTGAATATTTTTGTCATGTATTGGTGTTAGCTGTGGGTCCGTTACAAATCCCGTGGGACCTTCATTGGTGTGAACATTAGTGTATGGGACTTCCAGTCTGATCTTTGGCACCCATGCAACTTTCTCTTATGTTTTTAGTTGGCAACTCTGGAGAATACTGGTTCCTAAGCTCTTTTGGCTCACAGATACCTTTAAGAGTCTAATGGTGACCTAGGGATTCTCTTTACCGGAGAGATGTACATAAGCATGTGAGCGATTTTGCATAAGGCCAAGGAGGAATTAGTGAGACTAAGAAGCAAACTGGGAACTGTTCCAGCTGGAGAGGACACTGGTGTCTGCCTGTTTAGGTAACTGCAAATCTTATGCATGAAAGCTACAGTAAGGAAAGAGGCTAGGGGCAGGGGCCGAGTAATGAAGAAAAGAATCTGACATCCAGGATGCTGCAGGTATCTTTGGATGTATGAGTTTCTCCCTGGGGTATTTCAGATTTATTTCATGTTAGTGGCTTGCTTGTGAGATTTTTCTTGAAGGTTATTACAGTGATTCAGTGAGTTATTGTTGGCTAATTGATGTTTTTATCATTTCTGGTTTAAATGTATATATACTTTCATTCACGCATTTGAACAAGGCTGTTCTCAGTCCCTTTTAGAATCCAGGCAACTTCCTCATCTTTCCCCACCATCCTGTGGATCTTTCAGGATTTTTCCAAGGTTACAGCTCAAAGTGTCGTGTTGACAGGCTGGAGCTTGTCACCATTTCTAAAGTATGTTTTTGAATGAATTCAATATCCTTGATTCTTATCCCAAGGAGTTTTAACACACTTTTTGTCATTGTTGTTGTTGTTAGCAGTAGGCTAGCTTAGAATTGTAACTTGCCCATGCCAAAGCAACAACAACAGATTGCAAAGGAATCTTCAAAATGGGCGGTGGGCAAGGCCCAGCCTGTTTTAGGAAGTCCCCTAGCTGTTTGCTGTACCACAGTGAAGAAGAAAGTGAAGAAGACCATTTCATGTAAATGAATGCAGTGATGTGGGTAAGCACATCAAAGTTCTTCGTAAAATGAAAAAATTGTTCAGACCTGTCTTAATGGTTAATGCTTACTTAAAAGTCTAAATGACTAATTTGACTAGCCATTTGTTAGAGGATTACTCATTTTAACTTTTGAGTTCCTTATACTTAAAGTAGCTAAACACATTTTAAATAATCTGTAATACATTAAAATATTAAAAATATGCTTTTCTCATTAAAAATACTATCTTTTACCACTTTTATAAGTAGGGTATTTTACACAGTGATTAAGTATCATTTTAGTTTCCTCTACCTAGGTTTTATAAGCTATTAAAGTTATAGACCATTTATCTGTTAATAATGGCTGCTGCTGCTTTTTATGCTATTTTCCTGAGTGCGTTAAAGGTTATTTTTATTAATTAGCCAATATTTCAGCCCACAGTAAGGGTAAATCCTCTCTAAAAAATTTGGTTTTCAGCCTGCTCAACTCACAAGCGATTAAGAAAAAAACAGTTGTGAGAATTCATTAGTGAAATATTTAAGAAACATGTTTTAAGTCTCTTCCCGAGATTTTTTTTTTTAAAGCATGCTGAGATAGCCTTCTCTCACTTTCTCCCTCTTACTTTCACATGACATATAAGCCAAATGGATCAGTTCTTTTTGACAAAGTGTGCATTGTACTGTCATAATTTGTTTTCATGTTTATTATCTAAATTCGATTTGTGTAGCAGTTTGGTAAAACCCAGATTATATGTATGTCTTTTCACTTTGTTCCTTCTTTCTTCCTGTGGTAATTTACTATAATTGTATTTTCCCAGTAAGTCAGATCATATTAGAGACATTATTCCTTAATTATCAGTAGGTGTCCTTGGAATATTGCTTAGCTCACAGGAAGTGGGTGGGGGGGTTTGTGTATATTTTGTTTTCCTAGAAATTTTTATGTAATTCTAGGTTATTGTCAACAACCTGCTTGTAACCAGACAAAACCTTGCTATTTCAATAAGTCTAAGGCTAGTTGTTCTGTCAAACACGTGTCTTGACAGTGAGTCTCAGTCATGGTGATGCATCAGAAATCATCTGGCGAGCTCTTAAAGCAATACCAGTGCTTTGGTACCGCTAAGGCTGTGATTGAATTGAGCCAGGATGGGCCCTGGTAATGGTAGGCTCTACAAGTTCCTCAGATGATTCCGATATGCAGCTCACCTTGGGATTCGTTGTGTGTTAGAAGGAACTAGGAAGCATCCTCCTACTCAGTGGTTTTCAGCCTTGGCTCACATTGGAATCATCTGGGGGAACTGAACTCTCTAATAGCCATGTCCCTTCCCCAGAGATTTTATTGATTCTCTGGGATACTGGTCTGCACATGCGGATTTAATAAAATAGCCAGGTGATTGTAACATACAGGTAGGTTTGAAAACCACTGACCACCGCTTCTGTTTTTCAGATGAGGAATTTGAGGCCCAAACCAAAGAGATTAGGTGACTTGTCCAAGATCCACAGAACCACAACTAGAACTCAGATCTTCAGACTTGTTATCAAATGTTTTTACCAGGACATCACATATTTTTAAGAAAATGTGGGCTTTGGTATTTCAGATGTACTTTTAAAATTATGTCCCTGGCTGCTTAGTCTAAAAAACAATGTTTATTTTATTTATTTTAATACTGGAAATATGAAAGGACATGACTAAGATCCAGCCATTACCTTAGTTATGACATAAGAGACCTTAGGAGCTGAGAATTAGAAACGTTCATGTATCCTATAACTTGTCCACATTTTCTAGAAGCAAATCAGGCAAATAAATAACCCAACTGAAATTTTCTTAGGTTAGATTAACTCCATGTCACTATTTCTATAGCAGGAATTGTAAATGCCTGTGTTTATAACATGGGTCATTCTCTAGGAGAATGTTTAAAAAAACATTTTATTGTTTTCTGGGTTATAGGGTGAATATTATAGAAATTTTGGAAATATATGAGTATAAATAAAAAAATCACTTGTATGTAATCTTATCATCCAGAGATAACAGCACAAACGTTATGTTGCAAATCAAAATGGTGAAATGCCTTTTTAATGCTTGTTATGCGGGTGTTTTCCAGTTGTGCATAGAATAACTTTATATGAAAGGCACTGAAACACACTTCATGATGCAACTGTTGCCTCATCTATTTAACAAATGGTACTAATTGTGCCTATTTATGTAGTTAATAAAAATGTAAAGATAGCTGAAAAGTAGCTTTTCCATGCTCTAATGTTCTCTTACATAACGTCTACCCAAAATATCCTTGTTTGTTTTTTCCTGCCCTTTGTTTTGCTAATTTGCTTTTTTATTTTGATAATACCCTCTTAATGTTTTTACTTTTTTCTTCATTTTCTTAACTGCAGGGATTTCTTTTTTTTTTTTTTTTTGTTCTTTGTCATTATTTACCATGTGTTTCTTTCTCTCACTGCTATTCATTATTTTCCCATTTCTATTTTTATTATTCTGGTCATTGTTAAACATTTCATTTTTCCATCTAGATACTTTGTTAGATCTTGAAGGATTAGCAACTAATTGTCATCCTTGAGATCTCATCTTAACTTTTAATCAGTATTGATATTTCTTTTAAAAGAAACAAGACCCTTTACTGTTCTGGAGTCCAACTTAATTAGTCACCTTTTGTCTTTCTCTGTGATGCTCCTGCCATCCAGAACAACAGCATAATGCCTGACCCCCTCTGTCTCACACACATATAAGGCAGGCAGTTAGGAGATTTTGACATCTAGGCTGCAGCTTTTCATTGAAAATCTTGCAGAAAATCTTGTGTTTGCATAAATGCATGTCACTCAAAATAAGCAGCAAAGGGGAAAAAAAAGAGTAGCTCTTGGGTTTTAAAAGAGGAAGTTTACTTCCCCTACCCCCAGTCTCAATATTTAACATCTGGTTCTGACTAAAGATGGGGAGGAAAAACAGACTTAAATCTCCATTCATCCTGTCTTACCACCAAACAGTGTGATCACTGATAGCATTTCTATTTCTGTTGTGGTCTGTATGATCAGATGTTTTTGTTAATGATTTGTAAGGGAAGATAATGCCTTATATTTCTCTGAGTGGTTATAATGTAACGTGCCAACATTTCTAATCTCTAGATAGGGCTAGATTTAATCATTATTTAATGAAACTTTGAAGGAAATAAGTTATTGCTGGACCTCATGTGTTTCTGTCTTATTTCAAAGAGAAAACAAAAAACAGAAACCTTTAATTAATCTACTGATAATATTTATTTTATTTTAAAATTTTAATTTATTTCAACATTTGAATAAGTAATACATTCAAATGGGCAGAAGTGAAACAGTCTTGTGAGATACCTGTTTTTTAAAACTCCATTTTAGAAAAGGAATTAACTAGGACTTTATATCTCTTCGTTCAATATAATTTTAAAGAAGAATTGTTGAAAAGTAGATATGTTTTGCCATTTGCTGAGAATATTTTGTACGTTAGCTTGTCTCTTACAAAAACTAAATGTGTTCCTACTTCTGATAATGTATGTCAATTTAAAATTTGGAATGGCCAAGGTAAGTTGCTCTGCATCTGCCCTTCATATGGCTCCTGAGCACAGCTCAGTGACTGGCCCTTGCAGTGCTTCTACCGTTGTAATGGGTAAAACCAGGGGAAACTGCCTTGCTCTTGAGCTTGAGCAGGTTAATCAAAAGGATAGAGCTTCCACTTCTCATTATTCTCCTTTCTACTTTGATGGGCAGAATAAGGGGATGCTCATGGAAGAGAAATTCACACCCATGAAAAGCAAATTGCCCTGATGTCTGAATCACATTACAAATTTGAATTAAATTACAAACTTAAATCAAGTCTAATGTTACCTACATTGTTGTACATGCCATCAGAAATTCAAAAGCATTTTATTGGACAACTGAATATTTATTGAAGTCCAGAATTTATTATGTAAACTTGGTGGTTAGATTTTTCTTTCTCTTTCTCTGTCTTTTAACCTTTATTTTAGGTTCAGGAGTAAATATGTAGGTTTGTTATACAGGTAAACTACATGTCATGGGGGTTTGGTGTACAGATTATTTCATCACCCAGGTAATAAGCATAGTTCCCCATGGGTAGTTTTTTGATCCTCTCTCTCCTCCTGCCCTTCACCCTCAAGTAGCCCCTGGTGTCTGTTGTTCCCCTCTTTGTGTCCATGTGTTCTTGGAGAGAACTAAACATCAAGTGAGAGCTAAACAAGAGGATATATGGTATTTGGTTTTTTGCTCCTACATTAGTTTGCTTCAGATAATGGCCTCCAGCTCCATCCATGTTGCTGCAAAGAACATGACCTCATTCTTTTTTATGACGTGTAGTATTCCATGGTGTATATGTACCACACTGTCTTTATCCAGTCTACCATTGATGGCATTTAGGTTGATTCCATGTCTTTGCTATTGTGAATAATGCTGCAGTAAACATATACGTTCACGTGTCTTTATCGTAGAATGATTTATATTCCTTTGGGTATATACACAATAATGGAATTGCTGGGTGGAATGGTAATTCTGTTTTAAGTACTTTGAGTAATCAAGATTGCTTTCACAGTGGCTGAACTAATTTACACTCCTACCAGCAGTGTATAAGTGTTCCCTTTTCTCAGCAGTGTATAAGATTCCCTTCCCAGCACCTGTTATTTTTTGACTTTTCAATAATAGCCATTCTGAGTGCTGTGAGATGGTTCCCATTGTGGTTTTGATTTGCATTTCTCTAATGATTAGTGATGAACATTTTTTCCTATGCTTGTTGGTTGCATGTATGTCTTCTTTGGAAAAGCGTTTGTTCATGTTCTTTGCCCACTTTTTAATGGGGTTGTTTTTTGCTTGTAAATTTAAGTTCCTTATGGATTCTGGATATTAGACTTTTGCCACATATGTAGTTTGCAAATATTTTCTCCCATTCTGTAGGTTGTCTGTTTACTCTGTTGATAGTTTCTTTTGCTGTGCAGAAGCTCTTTAATTAAGTCCCATTTGTCAATTTTTATTTTTGTTGCAATTGCTTTTGGCATCTTCTTCATGAAATCTTTGCTAAGTCCTATGTCCAGAATGGTATTTCCTAGGTTATCATCCACACTTTTGTAGTTTTGGGTTTTACATTTAAGTCTTTAATCCTCATGAGTTGATTTTTATGTATGGTGTAAGGGAAAGGGTCTAGTTTCAATCTTCTGCATGCTAGCCAGTTTGCCTAGCACCCATTTATTGAATGGGAAGTTCTTTCTCCATTGCTTGTTTTTGTCAACTTTGTCAAAGATCAGATGGTTGTAGGTGTGAGGTACTATTTCTGGGCTGTCTATTCTGTTCCATTGGCCTTTGTATCTATTTTTGTACCAGTACCATGCTGTTTTGGTTACTATAGCCCTGTAATATAGTTTGAAGTCAGGTATTGTGATGTCTCTAGCTTTGTTGTTTTTGCTTAGGATTGCTCTGGCTACTTGGGCTCTTTTTTGATTGCATATGAATTTTAAAATAGATTTTTTTCTAATTCTGTGAAGAATGTCATTGTGGAAGGAAGATAAATTTTTAAAAAATCACGGTGTTGGCCTGGCATAGTGGCTCACTCCTGTAATCCCAGCACTTTGGGAGGCCGAGGTGGGTGGATCACAAGGTCAGGAGTTAGAGACAAGCCTGTCTCTACTAAAAATACAAAAATTAACCAGGCATGTTGGTGGGCACCTGCAGACCCAGCTACTCGGGAGGCTGAGGCAGGAGAATTGCTTGAACCCGGGAGGCAGAGGTTGCAGTGAGCCGAGATGGCGCCACTGCACTCCAGCCTGGGCGACAGAGCAAGACTCAGTCTCAAAAAAACAAAAACAAAAACAAACAAATCACAGTGTTATGGTATTCACCATAAAAGATGAAAAACAAAAAACCATAAGCCAACTTTCTGATATTAGCCTCAGTTCATGGACTTCGGCTATTTCACATTGAGCTTTGGGCGACAAGTTTTGACAGAAAGTAGAGGTTCCTCTCCTGTGGTCATGAGCTTGTGTTTCAAGGAGTTAATGTTAAGGGTGCAGAAGTCTCTTTCTTCTTTATCCAGAGAATAAGGGGGAAATAAATACATTTTATACACACATACTCAACATATATCTATCCACATATTTATGCATATTTATAGTCATTAATATGTAATATTTCCACATATCTAACTAAGTATCTGTTTCTTAGATAAAGGAAATTATATGATGTATACTTGTGTTTTTGGTTTCTTTCGATCAACATTATGATGGTGAGATTCATCCTTATTGCTGCATATTGTTGTACTTTGTTAATTTTCACTGCTGTTTAGGTTTCTAGTTTGTGACTGGTTCATAATTGATCTGCTTATTGATGGACATTTGTTTTGAATAATGTTGCCATTGGCTCACGCCTGTAATCCCAGCACTTTCGGAGGCCGAGTTGGGCAGATCACAAGGTCAGCAGATCTGGACCATCCTGGCCAACATGGTGAAACCCTGTCTCTACTAAAATACAAAAAATTAGCCGGGCGTGGTGGTGCGTGTCTGTAGTCCCAGCTACTTGGGAGGCTGAGGCAGGGGAATCTCTTGAACCCGGGAGACAGATTGCAGTGAGCTGAGTTAGCGCCACTGCACTCCAGCCCGGCGACAGAGTGAGACTCCATCTCAAAAAAAAAAAAAAAAGTTGCCATTATTCAAAAGAAGGTTCTGTGCATGTCTTTTGGTGCATATATGCATGCATTTCTTCTGGATATGTGGAGTAAGATTGCTGGGTTGTTGGGTATGTATATACTCTGTTTTGGTAGAATGTATGTATATATTTTTAAATGTAGTTTTATGTATTTATGTGGTATCTGTTATTAACATTTTTTAGTCATTTAATAATGAGTTGTGGCTTGTTAATTGTTTAGCTCACAAGAACGTCTTGCCTACTTGTATTGGGGATAATACGATAAGGTACGCATAGTTTCAGTGGAACTTGTAGTTCAAAGACTCAATTCTAGCCCCTAGTTGGTTTGTGACATTGGGTCTGTCACAGCTTTAGGTTTGCAGTTTCACCTTTATAAGTAAGATCGAAATTAATAAATGATCTCTGAGGTGACTTCCATCTGTACAATTCTGTGATTATTTCAAAATATCCTAAAAGACTGTTACAGAAGTATGCTTTTTAAAAATATGCTGCTGACTCTGGGGAAACAAACTGCTCCGTAAGGTTAATGTCAGATTGTATCTTTTTTACAGTAATTAAGTAGTATTAGGTTAGGCAGAAATCTATTTGGATTTTTCAGTAGCAAGCCTGACTTTTAGTAATAGGCTAGTTCACATAAGACCGATATTAAAATAACAGTTTTTTTCTTTACATGGTAACAGTTGTCAAGAAATTTCACAGAAAATATTCATAATTAAATTAAAGCACTACAAGTGTATTACTTACTGTTAAGTAATTTGATGACCGGGAATTTTATGCCCAAATAAATCTTTGTATTTTGTGTTACATTTTCAGTTGAGTTCATTGAGTCAGATGGGCATCATCAGTCTTATTTTTAGTGTTGCATGGGTATATTTTAATAATTCATTCTTTTTCTCTTGGCCTTTTCCCATATATAAACTCTATTTGCAAGTTATTTTCAGAGTTGGAAAATAATGAGCTAATATTTTCATACTTCATATTCATAGATGAATAACTAGTTATTAGCAGGCCATATTTAATTTATTTTTGTAAGAAGCTTCTTTGTCACCCTTTTTTGCATTTCTTTTTCAAAGTTTGTAGTGTATATTGAGTTGTTCTTCACCTGTGATTAGAGGCATGTGGATGTACTGCAAAGTGGAACAGCTACACCTCGGATTTTCCTGAGAGTTGCTCCTGATGAGTTCCTTAGCACCCATTTGTGACGTGGAACTGGAAGTTATAATAGGCATTTTAGTGAATCTTTCATGAAATTCAGTTTATTTCATTTAAATGGATACTTTTTTTTTCCTGAGATTCTTTTCCTTGTTCTTCTTGTGTGAAAATATTAATGACAGGTAAATAATAGATTTTGTGTTAATGGTGTTATTTGATGAACTAAATAAGAGTCCTATGTCAATCCCTCCCCCTTCCTTTTTTTTTTTTTTTTTGTTAAACATTTTAGCATCTCTTAAAGCATCTGGAAACCAGAGGTTTATGGAAGGAACACCTTCCTCCATCAGTTCCTTATGAAAAGACTTGCTTCCTGCATCCCAGCTTTTCAGAGCCCCTTAGTTCATTTTACCCTTGGCTTATTACTCCAGGGCCAGCTTCCCAGAGAGTGCTGGGCATGCTTGTGTGCTCCACCAAGAGTTCTGCCTTTCACTTTCCTTCTCTCAGGTACCAGAATGTAGCGGCATTTCCTGTAGGATTCTGCAGCTGCTCCTTTCAAATCACTCTCTGGCCTTGTTCTGTGATGTTGCATTCAACATCCCACCACAGACTGTGTCAAGATCTTTCTCTTTTGATTAGAGGTTCTCAGGACAAAATAAGTTAACAGTGCTCGACTGACATTTTCCAAGGATATTTATGCTGGTGGAAGCAATCAGGGGAGGCCCTGATTGCTCTTTAATTATTAAGTTACAAGGAGATACATAAGAGGAGGAAAAATCAGTTCCAGAGGATAAAGCATCTTAGTGGTGCATTTGGAGAAAATACTTTTTTATTTCTTTACTGGTTGGTCTTACCTTTTTAAATTTGTTTCCTCCTTTCCTGACCTTAAGGATAGAACTAGACACCGCAGATGGATTGTTTGCATTTAGGAATCTCAGAGGTTAATGGTGATTGATGGAGATTATTGAGGGAGGAACTAATTTGCTCCTTTCTCGAATTAGGCAGAGGTGAGTCACACTTAGACTGAACTTGTGATGTGCCTGGTCCTCTTCCATTTCTTGTAGTGGGAGGAAGCAAGGAAAGAGCCGCCCTCTTTCTGACCTTTGGCAGTCTGTTGACCCATCGGAAGAATTTAATTTTTCTCCCAGGATAGAAATGTGGGGGTGGACTGGGGTGTGGTGATGAGGGAATTATCAGTCTGATGTTGATATTTACAAATGTGAAAAGTACACGCTGTCCCAGGACTGGGCTGTCAAAGACTAGGGGATGAGTACTTCAGGGTTATTGAGCAAGAGGGATGACAAATGAAAGTCCCATAAGTAGTTGCCCTTGAGGTCTGACCTGAGAGAGAAGCTAACTCACTCTAAAACAATGATGCTCCAGTCCAGTAGTGACGTTAGCAGCCTCCCCACTTGGGAGGGACTGACTGATAGATATGTGGTTTGGGACAACAGAGAGGAATTGCTTTCACAAATCTTTAAGTAAGTACTGAGATCTTGAAGATGCTTTAGATGTAGTTTTACCTAGAGGCAGAGCAATGAAAAATAAAGGATCTTTTGAGGGTCCTGCTAAACCAGTGCTTTCAGACATTAAACTTGCATAAGAATCACCTGGGGATCTTATTAAAGTATATATTCTGAGTCAGCAATTCTGGGGTGGGACCTGAGATTCTGCATTTTTAACAAGCTCTGAGGTAATTGCTATGCTGATGGTCTAAGGACCAAATTTTGAGTGCCATTATTAGACACTTATTTAAATAAAATTCAAATTAAGATTCACCACTCCGTGTAGTTTTTCCTTCTTTACACTTAAATATGAAAATGCTGTAAACAAGATATTGTATTATTCCTTGTGGCATATATAAAATATTATGGAATGTACGTGATAAAAATAGATATTAATAAAATCCAAATTAAACTCACCAACTAACATAATGGAAATAAATGCTGATCAGAAACCAAATGCTAGGCCACCCATTGCTATTTACAGATATCCCCATGTGGTACTGTATTCATGTATGTGTGACACCAGATGTCTGGAAAACAGATTTTTGTGACAAATTTTGACACAGGAAATTTATCTTGCTCCATAAAACTTAATGGAAAAATGTAATGCTTAACTTCAGTCCATTTTAAAAGAACGGATTTCAGTGTAGTCCATAGAATCAAGTGGGATTTATTCTTGAGAGCTGCTAGGAGTCTCTTTATCAAGAGAATTACCTAAGACAACGTCAGTGGGTGGCATGGTATTTGATTGGTTATTGATAATATGTGTTTTGAGTTTGCCATATTCGCTCAGTATTCTATTTTAGATCATGAATAAAGGATATATTTCTTTACTACACTAAATATTTATCAGATGAATCATTTCTGGAAGTGAGGGAATTAACTGTGGTATTTTGAAAGAGAAACACATCTTTTCAGAAGTACATCAACAGTGTGATTTCTGAATGTGTTTCAAACGGTTAATACACCAGGGGCTGAGACTCCGCCAAAGTAGAACATCTGCTTCTAAGACATAGGCTTCTGGTGCATTCTTCTCTGTGCACTATTGTTTTCTTTTGCTTGTTTTCTCAATTTGTTAAATCTAGATTATATTTCATAAGGATACAGGGAAGAAACGCTCCTAGCTCATTTGTTATCTTACAACAGAGAAATCTTCAACAGATCTTTTAAATTTGGGTAAAAATCTAAGAATTCCTAATGATTAAATTATGCCTGGTGATAACGTATTATTGAAAGTGGTTTTCTGTTTTGAACTCCCCACTCATGCAGTTCTCCCTGGTGGAAGCATGGTTGCACATGCAGACCTCTGAATTCCTGAGCAGCATGGATAGAAGGGGTCCTGTGCTGGTGCAGTGGGCAGCCTGGATGGGGAGGCAGGGTCCTATCTATGATGTGTTCTTGCTCCCCTATCAGCCTCTTTCCTGAATACACATCACTTCTATCCCTGTAGTCTGTCATATTGCCATACTGGTCTACATCTGTATGCCTTCATCTGCCAGGCTTGTTGCCTGGCACGTTCTTCTGCATTTGCTCTGCTCCTCTTAACAGAGTTGAACACCTCTCTTTAGTTCCTGTGTTTTGGAAGCACCTTGAATGACCTTAGTTGTACAGTTAGAGTGTATGTAATTGTGTGTTTTTATATCTAAGTAACCACTAGACTGTCGACTCCCAGAAAGCAAGGACTGAACTGGTCTTTATCTTATATTTCCATTACCTAATGTAGTGGCAGATTTTAGCAGGTCCTCAAAAAAGGTTCATTGAGTGAATAAACTTTATTAAAGTCGATGGAACTCCATATATGTTGATTATAATTTTCATGCATATAAAATCAATCTGAAAACAGGGAAAACTGATAGTTGTGTAAGTAAGCTATACTTGTAGACAAAGAAGCAGCAAGCTGTGACATGAGTAAGATGTGTAAGAAAATGTAAAGATTTTCTAGTGCTGCTTTGCAGCCTGATCTTTGTGGATTATTTGTAGCACTTTTTCCTCTATTTTAATATTTAATTCCTTAAGAAATAATTAAGCAAGAAATCATTTTAAAAAAGTATACAATCTTCCTATCATTTTGATGTTTAACAGAAATATTAAAATTTGTTTTTAAAATTATTTTCTTATTTTTATTACGACAAAATAATCAGTATCTTCAGAGAGAAATAATGGTTGATTCTGGTGCTTACCATATAGATTAAGTCCTGCAAGTCTTGGGTATAGCAGTGCATCTATTGAATAACCATTTCACTAATAACATTTACACAGGTAGACAGGTACAGTGATCTGTTAAGCAATATTTTTAAATATCTTCTTAAAAGTATTGTAATGAAAGGTCAGGTACAGCTGGATGCCGAAAGAATTACGCTAAAAAAATCAGTATGTATCTTTAGTGTTAATAAGTAGGATTATTAATAGTGCTTGACTTTTAAACAGAGACCCCATTGAATAGAACTAGACAAGCCAATATCCAGGATGATTTCTTATCTAGACATATGTCAAATCTAGTTATGTTAAATTGTCTTCAGAAAACACATAATTTAAATGGCAGCGTAATTAAAAGACACTGCTGTTAGGTCTATAAACATTCTATGTCTTTGCTTACATTTTACCACATACAATGTCAGGGGTTTTTCTACCTTTGAGAACTTAAAACTTGTAGAAATTAAGTCTATTGTCAGTAGAAATCAGTGGATTAGCTTAATGGTATTTTCACAGTTCAGTTCATTGTGTGGTTATCTAAGTAAATACGTTTTGGGAATTAATTGCAGTAAATTCCTTCTGATTCAAATCTGGGTATGCTGCTTTCCAAATAGGATAGTACAAATTTTTTCTAAAAACGTTCCCTGGTTGGTTTTTTTATCAGAGAAAATACAGAACTTGTAAAATTTATAATTTTTAATGTAAAAACTACTTTGTTTAACAAGAATAAAATTCTTAAATAAGATGTTTGATACTTTCTACCCAGCTTCATCACTCATTTCTATTCTCAGAGAGAAAAGAGCCCTATCCTTTCAAGTGCTAGAATTGAGTATCGTGATAATAGTAGTAGATTGGTAGCTCTAATAGTGCTAATAACAATTAACATTATTGAATGCATACTCTTTATCAGTTTTCTAAGCTAATTATTTATTGCTGTATAGCAAACCACCCCAAAATTTCGTGGCTTGATTTAACAGCAATTATTATTTGTCATGGTTTTGTGGGTTTACCGAATGTTTTTTCTGCTTCATATAATGTTGGTTGGGATGCTAGTTCAGCTGGAAGGTCCAGTGGCTTTACTGTCATGCCTAGCATTTGGTACTTGGCAGCTGGGAACATACTTGGGTCTTTCTACGTGATTTCTTGGACTTCCTCAGAACATGGCAGCTAAACGCAAGAGCATTTTTAAAGAGGCAGAGGCAGAAACTGCCAAACTTTGTAATGCCTAGCCTCAAAAATTTATGTAGCGTCATTTCTACCACATTCTATTGAGTAAAGCAAGTCACAGGCTACTTCAGTAAAAGGGGAGGGAAATAGACTCCCCTGTGTTGGGAAGAGTGCCAAAGATTTTGTGGCCATTTTTAATTTTTTACAGATTGAGCTAAGTACTCAATCCTTTACAAAATTAGCTAAGTACTTTTACAATGTATGTTTTAGGGATCAGAAGACTGAGACTTGAAGAGGTTAAGTCAGTGTCCGAGGTCATCTAGTTACTAAGTACCTTAAGCTTTAGAGCAAGCTTGTCCAACCCGTGACCTGGCCCAGTACAGCTTTGAATGTAGCTCAACACAAATTCGTAAACTTTCTTAAAACATTATGAGATTTTTTTTGTGACTTCTTTTTTTAAGCTCATCAGCTATTGTTAGTGTTAGTGTATTTTACATGTGGCCCAAGGAAACCAAAAGATTGGACACTCCTGCTTTTTTTTTTACTTTAGAGCTGGAGCTTTTCACCGTTGTAATATATTACCTTCAATGGTATAGGCAGATAAATTTGTCCTTCTGCTCCAAAGCCAATATCTGAGGAAGTTTTATTTATGTGGCGGGATAATTGTCTTTGCAGTCAGTGAGATTATAAAGATATTTGGATCACATTATTGAGGAGCCATCATGTGGTAAAAGTAGCAGTCTCTCCAAATTTGGAAATTTCTGAGTTGTTGGGTGATATGAAAGGTAAAATTTTTACATCTGATGTTATCCTGCGTCTACTACAAATATTAGCACATTGCCTCACCAAGAGCAAATAAATAAGTCAGCTTCTTAAACCATAAGTTTCCCAGTGGGCATATTCCATTCTACTACAATTTATATTTTTCATATGGTTTCAGTGTTCTAGTGTTTACTATTCATTAACATGAAACACAGATTTTAAATTGCCTTTTTAAAAATTATTTCTGCTGCTTTGTGGTTTTCTTTGTTTTGAGGGCCATGTTATTCATGGAGTTTTCATTGTTAAAAAAAGAAAAAAAGAAATGTCAGTAATGCCTGTGATGGTAAAGAACAAAATAAAAGTCAAGGCTTTCAAATATACTAATTGAAAGTTTTTATGCTTATGGTAATTTGAGTTTTCTATGTTAGATTCTTGGCATACTGCCTTCAGGATTTCTTCAGTCTAAGACTGAGGCATATTGAGGAAAGTCTGTAAGTTGAAAATATCATATAGCCTATTGTACTTTCATGTTAGCTGTAAGTTGTGAAATGGATTCACAGTTTTTGCTTAAAGCATATAGACATTTTAGCGCCAGAGTTATCTAGTCTCCTGCTGATCAGAATAAAAGTGGTAGATAGCCCCATAGAATGTTATGGGGCCATAGAACGTATGTACCACAACCCCCTGGTTTTATAGAAGAAGGTTTAGATAAGAGAAGCTTTCACTCTTGTTCATATCATGGAATAGTGTGAAGGGCAGAGTTGTGTCTAGAAACCTGGTCTGTCAGCACTGTGTTTTCTTCCACTGTATCCCAGTATTTCCTTAATTAGCCTTGTTATTAGAAATGTAAACCAAGTATCCAAGAAGGTCCTGTCACCACCACTCAGCTGTAGAATAAGTTAAATCCAGCTTAACTTTTGCATTTGTGAAAGTCTGAGACCTTTAAAAAATGCTTAGTCGTCATTGTATTCAGAAAGTTTAAGACTTCTATAGTGGTTCAGGGAAATTGTACTGCTGAGAACTAGTAGGTTATTACAGCCATGTTTTTCTGTGATTACTTTTTATTTTTCATTTTGAAAGAAAAAAACTACCTGGCATAGTCTCAATGCTTTAAAAAGACAGGATTTTTCTGTGAGACCATTGACATCTAAATTAGTGTTCTCTTGAACTGTTATCATGCATATTAAGACATATCATATATCTAATAAATGGAAGTAAAATGGAGTTAATTGAATCATCTGGTTGGGTTCAGCTATACCATTTCTTTCATGACGTTATATGACAAAGAACACATGTGATGTGCTAATTTATCTATATAACTATTCTGAGATTTCTTGCTCCTAATAATAATTTAGTTTTAGTTGCATTTTTTAGGAGACTATTATAAAGGAAGGAGATAAATCATGAACTAGATTTAAGGATCCAGACCCCTCCTTCTGTTTAAAGCAATTTTAGACTGTGGATTTAAGTGTTTGAGCTTTCTGTTGTCTGGTTTTTATTTTAAAGATATGAAATTAGAACTAAGAGGTTTTTCTTTTGGGGAAGGATATGGAAAAAATACTGGTGTGCCATTTGTGAATGTACTATGGGGGAAGGACTAACACTTTTTAGAAGATTGGTAATCAATGGTCATGCAAGTGGTTTGGCTTGAGTGCCCCAGAGATGCCTTCTCCGTTTGAAAGCCGAAGCAGCGTGGTTGCCAGTGGAGCCTTTCAGAGTACCGGAGACATTGCAGTGAGTCTGGAAATCTATTCTGTCTCCAGTAGGCACATCTCAGGTTTATCAGAGAACATCAATATAATGGCTTTTTAATGACATTTTTGTTTCTTACTGAAAATAGGGCAATTTAAAGAATAAAAGAAAGAAAAACCATAGTAATTCTACTAACCAGAGGTTACTATTGATAATGCCTTTTTGTGTATATCCTGTATTTGTTTTCCTATTTACAACACATCATCTATAATGTGGTATTTATAGCCTTTTAATTTAATAGAACTAAGATTGTACTGAGCATAGTATCGATTACCCTGCCTTTTTCACTCTACACTTTCATTTTACCCACTTTCCCCCCCCCGATCCTCTCACACAGTGTTATGTGTGAGAATAGATTTCCAGACTCACTGCAATGTCTCCCATCCTTCAAAGGGCCCCACTGGCAACCAGTCTGTGTTGGCTTTCAAACGGAGAAGGCATATCTGGGGCACTTGATATGCACTTGCACTACCACTGGTTCCCAGTTTTCTATGAGGTATCTATATCAGATCATGGCTAAAATGAGTGGGAATTGCTTGGCAAATTTGTGTTTGTTTTTATCTTTATATTTGCACATACTGAATAAAGATAATTTTAATCCTGGGGAAGAGGTAGAAAAAATCTCATGATTTTAGTTTTCTCTGTTAGTATTGCACGACATAAGCACCAGAGAGATGACTTTTTTCCTCCTTTGGTTCATTTGTATTTTACTTGTCCTATTCCAAAAGAACAGTATTGAAATGAGACACAGGTATCAATAAGGAAAATTTCCAGAGCCAGAAGAAGGAAGGAACTGTCAGGGAACAATTAGTGTGACGGGAAACTATGTTATGCTTCCTCAGAAAGTATGACAAATATGTTACATTTACTTGAGTTTCTGGAAACTGCACATGAGGGATATAGCATTAATTTCCTTTGTCTTGTTGGTATTCTGTTTTACCATTCATGAAGAAAGAAAAAAAATGAGAGAAAATAAAAGGTCTCAGAACTCACAGAGTAAAGATATTTTTCTAATTGAAAGTCAAACTTCAGAGTTGTAATTCTCTGTTAAAGTGGGTTTTGGTTAAAAATTATTTTCTGTAAACTAATTTTATAGGCTATTCCTATCTGTCTGTTCATTAGCACAGTTTTGGGGTCAGCAAATTATTCCTTATAGTTTAAAAATATTTTTTATAATCTTTGAAATTAACAAACTTTTATTTGATAGCTATTTTAAGAAGTTGTTACAGGTGTAAGACTTTTTCTTCTCTAACAAAGATGTGCGCTGATAGAGCTGAAACACAATATCTATGTAAAATAACCATGGTGCCCTTCAAGGAAACCTTTGTGCCCTGGCAGATAAAGTGTTGTGGCATGTCACATATGGGAAGGGGTAGGGAAAAGATTCCATGTGGGTATTTTGACGTAAAGCTGGTGCATTTGAGAATTCAACAGGCTGAGACATAGAAACATTGTATCAGAGTAGGGTGAACGAATGGCTTAACTCACGGAAAGCAGACCATTTGGATAGCTTGGGGAGAAAACAGAAGTAGTGTGAGAAATGGTGGAAAGGACACTAGAAATACTTGAGGAGTTTCTAACTATATTCTATTGAGTAAAAACAAGACAAAAGCCATCCTTGATTTGTCAAAAGTGATAAAAATGGTGTAACAAGTAGAAATAGGATTTTCCTGCTGGGTTTGGGGTAGAACTTGGAAAAAAAACTGATCAATTATGTCTTTTTGAGCCATGTGTTTAAAATTAAGGTGGAGGATCAGAAGCAATAAATATGGATTAATTGACTCCATTCAGATTGCCACTTCACTGTTTTATGATAGACTACTGGGAATAGCAAATAATAAGAAACTTAATGTAGATTTGTTTAAAAAATTTGTTACTACTGTTGTTTCAATGTCAAGTTTATTTTGCTTGTTGATGAAACTGGTCTTTTATCACATAACTCTAGGTCATAAAAGTATAGTTTGAATTTCCAACATTTCTAATGTTTCTTTTTCTTTTGAAAAATAATCAAAGAAAAAGTTCTGCTATGTTCTGGTTACTTCTGTATGAATCTCATAGCAATCATGATTTTCCATTGTGTTTACAGAACTTTCATTGTGTTTTATCGTAAAGGAATGAAAGAATGGATTATTTTTTCTTTTTTGTCTCAATGGAGTGGTCTACATTTTAAAGGTTTATTTTACAAAAGGATACTTGTTACATATTAGGTTTCATCAAAAGAAGTTCAATACTAAAGATAAAGAGTTTTCCTTATTGAAATATATATTGTTAAGCTTTTAAACCAAATGAAAGTATGAGTGGTCATATTTATACTGTAGTAGGTTTTCATAATAGATTTTCCGGATTAAAACCATTTGTTGAAATCATCAAAGAGATGTTAATCCTGCTTTAGCATTAATGCAAAGTTAAAATAACTGACATTAAAAAAATCATTTGGGAAGCTTTATTGAATATATTGAGATAAGGTTTATTGTAGTCCTTCTCTTCATGCATACTGCTGTTACAATTCCAGGAGGTTTCAAAATCCATGTGAATGACCCCATTCAACCCTCAAACTGTCCAATTCCTGGCCTAATTCACCTTCACTCTGCTGTAGCTACCAGTTGCAGGACTAGCTGCATTTTGGCCAGAACTGCATCACCCTGGAAATTTTAAACACACTCTCTCTCTTCTGATTGCCCTCTTTTTCTGGTTCCATCTCAGCTTTATTCCCACTGCATTGTTCTTTATCTTTGGAGCTCTCTAAATCCCTTAAATTCATTGGGTATAGGATTCTGTCATCTTCATCTTTGTAATATCAGTGCCTAGACTAAGCCTGGCGTATAATAGGCACTCAGAGATTTGAAGAATAAATGACTAAATGACTGTATCAAATACTTGCCCATTGTTTGCTGTTTCTGAATTGTACAAGGCCATCATGATAATTGATGATCTTAATAATGTGAGAATATGATTCTCTTACCTTAGTAAGAGAGCCATCAGTTTATTGGATGATAGTTATATGGAAAAAGAAGAAATGCTACTGTGATAAATATTTATAATTTTAAACAAGTGGTAAGTAGAATTAATGATAAATAACTTACTTATTGAAGGTTTTCAAAAAATTAGATGCATCAGGGTCTTACCTACATGTCTTATGTATTTTTATTCAAAATTTTTAGAAATGAGGAAACAGGTTAAGTAACCTTTTCTTTATCTTTAAACAGGCTAAGGATATTAAGCCAGTACTAACAAACTTAAGGACCAAACTCGTCAATATGTAAGATACTAGAAAAATTAATCAGAATATATTTTGAATATCTTGTGGAAGCTTCTCAAAGGATATTACATTGAGCATCATAGGCTGGCATGTTATTTCATGTTTTAAGTAAGGCATTTGTAAGTTGTCCATTTAAATATATTTATTTTAGAAAGCAAATATATTTGTCCTGTGAAGAGCATCCTTATTTTGAGGGATAGCTTCTTGCTGTTAATAAAACTTCGTAGATAACATGTTGGAAAGAATACCACAGGCCGGGCTCAGTTGGCTCACGCCTGTAATCCCAGCACTTTGGGAGGCCGAGGTGGGCAGATCACTTGAGGTCAGGAGTTCCAAACCAGCCTGGCCAACATGGAGAAACCCCTTCTCTACTAAAGTACAAAAATTAGCCAGGTGTGGTGGCATACACCCTCTGGAGGCTGAGACACGAGAATCGCTTGAACCCATGAGGTGGAGGTTGCTGTTAGCCTAGAATAGGGCCACTGCATTCCAGCCTGGGCAATAGAGTGAGACTCTGTATCAAAAAAAAAAAAAAAAAAAAAAAAAGAAAAGAAAAGAATACTACAGAGAGATCAAAGAATGCCCAAAGTTACCTCTCCCAGTCAGAATTTTGGGTGTAACCTCCCTAGCTGTGCTAGTGGTGGATGAGGTGTTTAACAAAGGAAATGTAAGATCTTCCTTTAGTTGCCAGTTCAGTGTAGTTTTTTGGAATTAGTTTGCTAAATTTCTTTTAAAGTGATCAGTTTAGTATCCAAAAAGTAAAATGGAGCAAGTTGAAAAATTGTCCTGCCTGTGTTTCAGTTTAGGTTGTTCCTAGGCGCACTGCTGACTTCTCTTATGACTTTGGGTAGATTCAGTCTTTATTGGTATTTGAACTTTTAATGTCTGTTGTGTACTCTCCTTAGACACATTTAAAACTTTAAAGCATTTGGGCAGGGGGAATGGGTAAGGATCCAGTTTTATTTAAGACTGTCAGGACCCATCTCAATAGTAGTATCTATTCCCATGAGAGAAAAATGAAAGGCAAGGCTTACATCAGCCTAGTCTCCTCACTTAGGAATCACAACATTCCTAAGGTCAGAAACAGTGTGAAGTAAGTCTCTGAACCCATTTTGGAGGGCAGTACATCAGAAATACAGTGGAAATTGCTCTTTAGCTGGATGTGAGTTTCATTTTAAGCACCACTGTTTATATTCTTTATGTCTTGCCTTTCTTTTTATATTGAGTTTGTTTCACCTTGTAAAATTAAGAAGAGCATGTTCTAGCTTTTAAATGTGAGAATTGAATTATTAATAGTTTTTGGGTAAAAGTATCACCTCCCATTTCTTCTACCAAAAGCAGCACATCCTCACAGACTTTTCACCTCACTGAAAATGGTCATTTAAAGTTTTTACTAATTCAGCATTTAAAGCTTTTTATTTCCTCCTTGATTTATAACACAGCTGTTTCTTGAATAGAAAAAACTCAAGGACTACATGCAATCTAATTAGATTACATTCTTTGTGTGAGTCTCCTGCATTTAGTGGAGGCCACTAATCAAATCTTGATATATTTTCTATTTCTTTTATTTATTTATTCATTTAATTCATCAAGTCAAGATGGCTATAATTAGAGCAGATTACTCCTACCACATTGTATTATGATGATCTCTTCATGTTTTTTTGTTTCATACTATATGATATTCATTAAGGGTAGCATTGTGCCATCCTCCATCAAGCATTATATGCTTCCTTTGTGCTTATGATGTTGACCGTAGCAACCTTAAACTGTTAAGACTTGTTTATAAACGGTGAAGCTCCATCATTCCAACAGAGTCAGCATGCTAATTCACTCTAGTTCAAATCCACATTCTAGTTGAATCCCTGCAATGTAACTTGACATTTGGAGAAATTGATTCATACCATTTTAAAGAAATATGATATAGGTGACAGAATCCAGGATGAAGAGGTACCTTGTTGCTTAGATGATGACGTTGTGGATTCATTTCACATCTCTCTCTCTTTTTAATGTAGCTCTTCTCCCTCCTTGGTTTTTATTCCTCCCTCCTTCTTTCTTCTTCAAGCCTCCTCTAATGTTAACATCTTTGGCAGTTTGGCCAGTGTTGACAACTACTTTTTGATTATTTGGTATTTTAAAATATTTGGTATTTTAAAATGCTTTTATTGGCCAGGCGTGGTGGCTCACACCTTATAATCCCAGTACTTTGGGAGGCCGAGGCGGGCAGATCATGAGGTCGAGATTGAGACCATCCTGGCTAACACGGTGAAACCCTGTCTCTACTAAAACTACAAAAAATTAGCTGGGCATGGTGGCGGGCGCCTGTAGTCCCAGCTACTCAGGAGGCTGAGGCAGGAGAATGGCATGAACCTGGGAGGTGGAGCTGGCAGTGAGCCGAGATCGCGCCACCGCACTCTAGCCTGGGTGACAGAGCGAGACTCCATCTCAAAAAAAAAAAAAAAAAAAACAAAAAACAAAACTTTTATTGTAAAATTATTTATTACAAACAAAATCCCATGCAAAGAAAATGAATAAATGTGATGGTTAATGGAATATATGTGGAAATAAGTAGCTTCTCTTATAAGTGAAAGAACTGATATCGAAAATTCCATGTAAAATTAATTAAAATTAAAATTACATTTGTAAGATTATTGAGTCTTTTCTTTCTGGGCAGATTTTTATTTAGTTAGTTGTTTGGGGATTGTTTGGGTTTTAGTGGCAGAAATATATTCTTCATAAGTATCAGATTCTTTATTAGGCAGTCATCATTTTAGGTCTTACAATGATGGGAAATCCCATGGGCTTAGGGAAGATTGGCTAAGTATGGAAAAATTACGTAATAGAAAAAATTCCATCTACAAAGATGTGTGATTGTTTCTTTTCTTCTCCCTATGTCTAGATGGTTAGAGATGACTGTATTCTTGGATTGTTTTATTTTCAAAATTGAAAGTTTTTTTTTTTTTAAATGGGTATTAGGCTGGGCACGGTGTCTCATGCCTGTAACCCCAGCACTTCAGGAGGTTGAGATGGTTAGATCACCTGAGGTCAGGAGTTTGAGACCAGCCTGACCAGTATGGTGAAACCCCGTCTCTACTAAAAATCCAAAGTTAGACGGGCATGGTGGTGCATACCTGTAATCCCAGCTACTTGGGAGGCTGAGACAGGAGGATTGCTTGAACCCGGGAGGCAGAAGTTGCAGTGAGCCGAGATCACACCATTGCACTCCATTCTGGGCAACAAGAGCAAAACTCCATCTCAAAAAAAAAATAGGTATCAAAGGATGCATAGTGGGATGGGGAATAAAGAAAGCACATACTACATAGCAAAACATTGTAAACAAAAAAGTCACAGCGTCATATAAAAAAGAAAACGTATTTTCTATGATAACAAATTTAAATGAAATTAGATACCAGAATAGTTTTCAGTTCTCTTTCTCTTTTTTTTTTCCTTTTAAGCTCCAACAGAATGAGTTTGTCAGTTCTTTTCATACCTTGGTGTCGATTGCAACCTCTATAAATATGTTAAATAATGGATTTCTAAGATGATTATTTACATATATATGGAGTGTGTGTGAGTGTATAAGTATAAAGTAAATATATATATTCTGGAATGTGTATGTATATATGCATATATATATTCAACTATTTTTAACAATATGAGCTTGAGTTTCTTTCAAGACTAAAGGCAAAATGTATTTTTTCATTGCCTTATTTTGTGCAAAAGCCAAATAAAATTGTGGTGATCCATTTGCAGAAGCAAGAAAATAGAAGCATATACACATTTTATAGTCAATCAGTGAGTATTGATATAGGTCCTGGTGATTATTAGAGCTTCTAGACTATAAAAAATGTTACTATGTTTCTTTTAAAGTTTAGTGTCTGCATAGCCAGTGGATCAGATACCCAGAATGGGTGGGTAATCACTGGCGTTGTGTTTCAGACTTTAGATCTAACAAGTAAAAATTAAAAAAATAAATTGGATATGATTAAAGGACAAAGAATCAAGGGGATGGAGTGCAGCCAATTCAGAAAATAAAGAACAGTTGGTTTACCCTAATTATAGCCATTTTGATTTTTCTTTTGTATGTATCAATTGGAAGTTTGGTAAAAATTAAATCTTTAGCCCAATTATAGAAATAAATTCATTGCAGATTTCCTAAGGTGACTTTATACTTTTCTTAAACTCAAATCTTTAAAGTCGGTTGTAGTTTGTACGAGCCACAAGTCTTTCCTTTGATATAGTAAAACAGTTTACTTTTTATTTTTTAAAACAATATCTTATATCTACCATCATCTAAATTGAGGATATGTTAACATAAATGACAAAATCATATTGATATCAAAGATTCAACTGATTAAGAGAAATTTTACACTTGGATTAGGATGAGTTGTGCAAAAGTGGCTGAATCTAATAAAATGATGTAACATTTATGTATATTATAATGAATTTTCCAGATTGTTTATGGGTACAGGTCAAGCATTAAAATAAGGCCTATGTTATGCCCTCCCCCCTTTCATCAAAAAGCTTTCCGTAGATAAGTTATGGAAATAGGTGACTGTTTTTTTTTAAACTTTTTTAAGGAAGATGAATTTATTGATTTTATAGAATATCTTATTGCATTCTTCTTATTACTACTTTTCCCACTTTTGATCATGGGTATCTTTTTTCTGTATTCATCTTATACAGGAAGTTATGTATCTCCTTTGTAAATTAGAAAGAGTGTCATCCAATGATTTTATTGTCAGGTGCATATTAAATGATCTCCTTGGTAAAAAACATGAGTTATTATTATTATTTGACAGTTATTAAACACAGATACATGAGTAAATATGGAGCAAAGAAACACAACTTTCAATGACAAAGGTCTGTTGATACACTGTATGGTTTTATATGTTGCAAATTTGATGACTTTCTCTGTGTTAATTTCCCTCTATATTTTTATTGAGTCCTAACACACTTGCCTCCACTCACATCCCAACACACACACATACACACACATGCACACACACACACTCTCTCTCTCTCTCATATATACAGGTGCACATACACATGCATAATAGCTGAAGCTTCAAAATGAAAACATATGCAGAATGTACCTATTGATTTCTGGTCATTCTGAGCAAAAGGGAATATAAAGAAATAAAGTTTGTTTGAAACTGGGGAAGTTATTTAGTATTTTGTGTTTTAATTGCTTCTTAACTATCTAACACTAGTAGTTTTATGCCGATTAACGTAATATTGAAAATTTAAGAAATGTTAGCAAGGATTATAGGTGATTGATAGTACTGTTTTGTAGTATGAAGCATGGTTTAAATCTTGTCAGAATCCCCAGAACTTAACATGGAAATTAGAATAGAGCTGACACCTGTATCTCCATTCTAAACCATTTAGTCATATTACTACAATTTTTTCCTTCTAAAACAGACTTCATCAAGTCTTCAGAATTCTGAATCCATTAATCCATTTGACTCTCCATTTATTTCTTTTCTCTTTCATTTTTTGTTTTTGAGACATTGTCTCACCCTGTTACCCATGCTGAAGTGCAGTGGCGTGTTCATGTCTCACTGAACCTCTGCCTCCTGGCTCAAGAGATCACATCAGCCTCCCTAATAACTGGGGCTATAGGCATGCGCTCCCACGCCCTGCTTATTTTTTGTAGAGATGAGGTCCTGCCATGTTGCCGAGGCTGGTCTCAAACTCTGGGCTCTAGCCATTTGGCCACCTCAGCCTCCCAATGTGGTAGGATTACAGGGGTGAGTCACCACACCTAGCCTGACTCTCCATTTCTTATAGCAGTACCTCTTAATGAGGAAAGCACATTAGAATTGCCCACAGAGCTTCTAAAATATGCATATATCTAGAACCCTTCCTCAGAAAATCTGATATTTAGGTAGGAGTGGCAAGCATGTATAACAAAAACTGTGCATTGATTCAGATGCCTCTTTATGTCATGTCCCAACTAAAGTTTCTTACTCTGTCTCATGTTATTTTCTCCTGTTACCCTCTGCTCTGCTTTCACTGTGCCAAAAATGATATAATACCAATACATTTTCATTTTATACTTTTGTATTAGTACTTTTGTACATGCTGTTTCTACTGCCTGAAATACCTTTTACTTCCCTCTGCATCCTCCCTTTCTCTCCTCTCCAGGTCTTTTATCTGTCAAACAATGAGTTTTCTTCCTAGATTCTCCTCTGATGGCAAATCTTTCCTTACTCCCCCAGGTAGAAATAGTCACTCTCTCTTTTATGTTTACCATTTATATTTGATTATTAATTTTTTAAGTGTCCATCTCTTCCATTAATCTGTGAGCTCAGTGAAATTATGTAATTTATCTTATTTGTGTTTATGTTAAATGAATACATGGATAACTAATAAGTTGACAGCTTTGTTAGGAATTTAAATGTACAATGTTTTCATAAACTTTTTTTAAGGGCAGCATTAAGTTGAGGTTTTCGTGATCAACCACCAAGACATACGTTGATACATACATAACATTGTTTGTCTTAATATATATTACCATAAAAATTTGCATGCATCTAGGTGTTTATTTCTTATCTTCATTTTTTTCCCTTGTGCCTACAGACGAAATCTCACAAAACTGTCCCTTATCTTCAGTCACATGCTGGCAGAAATCAAAGCAATCTTTCCCAATGGTCAATTCCAGGGAGATAACTTTCGTATCACAAAAGCAGATGCTGCTGAATTCTGGAGAAAGTTTTTTGGAGACAAGTAAGTAAAAATCATTTTTATAGCTGTGGATCTATCTTTCAAGGGTTACTGTATCCTCCCTCCAGTTGGATATGGTATATATTTTACTTGAGTGTTTTGTGAATGTATTTTATTATTTTTGATAAGCATTTTGATTGATTGGTAATTTTTATAGTCACCAAAGGTATGCCTCAATAATGCAATAGTTTTTTAGTCACTAAGTAAATATTATACAATGTTATTTATTTCATGAGCATTCATTGAGTTTGTTCTGAGAAGCAGAGGTATGTAAGAGTCTTTATACATGAGAAGCTGATAACTTCTTATAATTTAATATGTACTTAATATACAAAATAAAGGGTAGAAGGGCATAGATACTTTAAAAAATGGCATAAGTAAATTGCTGTGACAATTTAGAAGGGAATAGTTGCTTTGGGATCAGTGATCAGGGACTGCTTCCTGGAGGAGGTGGTATGTTAAGCTTGGTTAAGGTCTGAAATCGAGGTGAGAGAAGGCCCTGGCACCCTGATCCAGCCTTTCTTTGTTTTACTGCATAGAGATTATATATGTGTGAACAAGATATGAGGATAATGTTATCACAAAGATGTAGTCTGTTGCAAAGTAGTTAAAGATGTATGCCCTACAGAGACACAGATTCTGGTGAGCTTGGTAGATAATGGAATTGAATATCTAAGGTCAGCATAATTTATATAAAAGTTGCAAAACTTTTGTCATAAATGTCTCAGTAAAATGATCAAGAATGAGCATCAGGAGGCAAGTGGTTTCCCCAGTAACCTTTTAAGAATTACCTTTAATGAGAGCGCGTCCTCAGAATGTCCTAGAATGTAGGCAAAGCCCTGGCTGAGTAAGTAAGGAGGAAGTGTGACTGCTTACATAGATTATTGTTTTAATCTTGTCTCAAAGGTCTGTATTTGTCCTTTAACTGATGAAATTAGACATAAAAATTGTTAGTATACACTTTTTTTAGTACTTTGATATGTTGAACTGCGATATTGGTTTTCCTTTGTTTGTTTTTGTTTTTGTTTTTGTTTTTTCTTTACAAAGTACTATAGTTTACTATAGTCACCACCAAGATTGGAATATACCTACATAGAGTAATGTACATTTCATTAAGCACACAATTTTTTTGGCATCCAAAATATTAAAGCCTATTTCCCACATTGTACTAAAATGTATTCTGAATTATTTTTAGGCACTAAAGGAGAAAATGCCATTGTTGCCATTAACATGGAAATTCTGTGTTGTAGCAATCTAGTTATTTATAATGTTCATATATTCATTCAGAAATGAAGAATTTAGAAAAAAGTTTATCCTTATCTGAATTAGAATAACACAGACAGCTAAGACTATACTAATTAAATATTTATTAATTGTAGAAAGCAGAACAATCTTGCCAGGTTCAGGGTGTAGGAACTGAGAGGGTTTGTTTCCTGTAGTTGCAGTTCATGTATTAACATTGTAAGCTTAGTTCAAACAGTCGGTAACCTTCAAAATAAACTTTCTCTTAAAGTTTTAAGAAAATATATAGGACAAATTGATTATGGTATTTCTTTTTGAAAACTGAAAATTCTGATGAGTTATAAAATTGTTTACTTGTCATAAGGTCAATAAAAAATGGAAAGATTGCTCACAGGTTTTTTTTAAGAGAGGAGTTTACTTTGCTGGTACTTCAAGCCACAGAAAATTATGCATTTGAGACATCTTTATTTCCCTTTATTTATAACCACAGACATCAAGGGGCTGAAATTTCTGTTCAACTGCTACATGAGTGAAATCACTACTACATCAAATGAGGGATTCTTGAAATAGTGATTAGATACTTTCCCTACCTCCCAAGTCTTTTCACTTTTGTCTGCTGTTTTTACTGAATTGAGAAAGCTGCTTAATTTTTCTTTAACACTTTTAATTTGTGGATGACTGCCAAATTTCATGCTCCTTTTGGAACTTATATGCATTACCATAGTCATACAAATTAATTATTCCTTTATTAGATAATTGGAGAAAGTATTTTTTTATTCTTCCTAGGTTTTTACCTTGTGGTTCCATAATATTTTATTGAATGAATGGACATATGCATGAATAATGTGTATCCTTTCGAAAGGTTGAATTTTTTTTTTCCATTATGCTCTAATACTGTTTGTATTTTCCCAAAACTTAGTTCTCCTGTGGGAGCATGCCTGTCATTTATCTCACTGTTCATTGAGGCCATGTAAGAATGCTTTCATTTAGCCCAACCAGTGCCTTTAAACTTGAAAACAGCATTCTTTCCTAAAACAGAACCATTAATCCATTCATGAGGGCAGCGCCCTCAAGATCTAACCACCTCTTGAAGGTCCTACTTCTTAATACAGTCGCAATGGCAATTAAATTTTAACATGAATTTTGGAAGGGGCATTCAAACTATAGCACTGTTGTTTTTGAAGACATGGTAGTGCTACCCTCTCTGCTCAGGGCCCAAGCCCAGCAGCCAAGAGGCACTGCCTGCCTTGTGGCCCAAGGGGAACAGTAACACATGTATCATGGCAAATTTGTTGGGGGATTCTGTTTATGGTCAATTTTTATGCAAATGAATATATTTTAACAATGCAGTCATGCTTTTCCTTTCATAGTCTGTTGACCAGGAGTTAGAAATCTGTAGGAAAAGAAAAGTGACATTATTGAATAAATGTGTCTAAGTATGTTCAGCAAAATGAGACCAATACT
Source organism: Homo sapiens (assembly GCF_000001405.40). NCBI lineage: Eukaryota > Metazoa > Chordata > Mammalia > Primates > Hominidae > Homo > Homo sapiens. The sequence goes on along the minus strand of NC_000003.12, from coordinate 105,773,692 downwards.
AAACTGAATCTTCACACTCTGGAATAATAACTTATAATCCAGAAACTTTAAGCATGAAGCTCGAAAAATATATTACTAGCGTTAAAAAAAGAAGCACATCAATGTGATTAGACTCTGGGTGACAGTCATTTTTCTTAGCGAGTCAGGTAGCAGCTTGTGACTCATTTAAGTACTTTTTGACATTGAGAAAAGTGATTGATTGAAGTGGTGATTTATAAGATTTTAGTGCACTGGTCACCTGAGCAGTGCACACTGTACCTAATATGTAGTGTAGTCTTTTATCCCTTACCCCTCTCTCACCCTTCCCCACCACGACCCCAAAGTCCATTATATCATTCTTATGCCTTTGCTTGCTCATAGCTTAGCTCCCACTTATAAGTGAGAACATACGATATTTGGTTTTCTATTTCTGAGTTACTTCACTTAGAATAATGGTTTCTAGCTCCATCCAAGTTGCTGCAAAAGACATTATTTCATTCCTTCTTATGGCTGAGTAATAGTCCATGGTGTAAATATGCCATGTTTTCTTTATCCGCTTGTTGGTCTATGTGCACTTAGGTTGGTTCCATATCATTGCAATTGCAAATTATGCTGCTATAAACAAGCGTGTGCATGTGTCTTTTTCATATAATGACTTCTTTTCCTTTGACCAGGTATCTGGCAGTGGATTGCTGGATTGAATGGCAGTTCTACTTTTAGTTCTTTAAAGAGTCTCCATACTGTTTTCCATAGTGGTTGTTACTAATTCATACTCCCACCAGCAATGTAGAAGTGTTCCCTTTTCACAACATCCACGTCAACATCTATTGTTTTTAAAGATGTTTAACAACATCTATTGTTTTTAATTATGGTCATTGTTGCAGAAGTAAGGTGGTTTCTCACTGTGGTTTTCATTTGCATTTCCCCGATGATTAGTGATGTTGAGCATTTTTTCATATGTTTGTTGGCTGTTTGTATATGTCTTTTGAGAAATGTCTATTCATTTCCTTTGCCCACTTTTTGATGGGATTATTTGTTTTCTTCTTGCTGATTTGTTTTAGGTCCTTGTAGATTCTAGATACTAGTCCGTTGTCAGAAGCATAGTTTGCAAGTATGTTCTCCCACTGTGTGAGTTGTCTGTTTACTCTCCTGATTATTTCTTTTGCTGTGCAGAAGCTTTTTAATTAGGTCCCATTTATTTATTTTTATTTTTATGCATTTGCTTTTGAGGTCTTAGCCATGAATTCTCTGCCTAAGCTAATGTCTAGAAGAGTTTCTTTGATGTTATCTTGTAGGATTTTCATGGTTTCAGGTCTTAGATTTAAGTCTTTGATCCATCTTGAGTTGATTTTTTAATAAGGTGAGAGATGGGGATCCAGTTTCATTCTTCTACATGTGGCCTGCCAGTTTTTCCAGCACAGTTTATTGAATAAGGGTATCCTTTTCCAAATTTATGTTTTTGTATGCTTTGTTGAAGATCAGTTAGCTGTATTTGGCTTTACTTCTGGGTTCTCTGTTCTGTTCCATTGGTCTATGTGCCTGTCATTATACCAGTACCATGCTGCTTTGGTAACTATAGCCTTGTGTTGTAATTTGAGGTCAGATAGTGTGATGCCTCCAGATTTGTTCTTTTCGCTTAGTATTGCTTTGGTGATATGGTCTCTTTTTTGGTTCCATACGAATCTTAGGATTGTTTTTTCTAGTTCTGTGAAGAATGTTGATGGTATTTTGATGGGAATTGCATGGAGTCTGGATTGCTTTGAGCAGTGTGGTCATTTTATTCTTCCCATCCATGAGCAGGTGATGTGTTTCCATTTGTTGTGTCATCTATAATTTCTGTGTTTCAGTGTTTTGTAGTTTTCCTTCTAGAGATCTTTCACCTCCTTGGTTAAATATATTCCTAAGTATTTTATTTTATTTTTTTCAGCTGTTGCAAAGGGGATTGAGTTCTTGGTTTGATTCTCAGCTTGGTTATGTTGGTGTATAGCAGTGCCACTGATTTGTGTACATTGATTTTGTGTCCAGAGACTTTACTGAATTCATTTATAAGATCTGGGAGCTTTTTGGATGAATCTTGAGGCTTTTCTAGGTATATGATCATATCATCAGTGAATGATGACAGTTCGACTTCCTCTTTTCCAATTTGGATGCTTCTTCTTTCTTTTTTTTTATTGGATTGCTCTGGCTGTGACTTCCAGTACTGGGTTGAATAGAAGTGGTGAAGGTGGGGATCTTTATCTGGTTACAATTCTCAGGGGGAATGCTTTCAACTTTTTGCCATTCAGTATGATGTTAGCTATAGATTTGACATATATGGCTTTTATTACTTTCGGGTAAATCTCTTCTATACATATTTTGTTGAGGGATTATAAAGGGGTGCTGTATGTTATCAAATGCTATTTCTGGGTCTATTGAGATGATTATATATATTTTTAAAATTTCTGTTTATGTGATGTGTCACATTTATTAACTTACATATGTTAAACTGTCCTTGTATCTCTGAAACCCACTTGATTGTGATGTATTAGTTTTTTGTTGTGCTGTTGGATTAGTTAGCTAGTATTTTGTTGAGGATTTTTGCATCTATGTTCATCAGAGATATTGGTCTGTAGTTTGTTGTTGTTATGTCTTTTCCTGGTTTTGATATTAGCATGGTAGTGGCTTCATAGAATGATTTACGGAGGATTCCCTCTTTCTCTGTCTTTTAGAACAGTTTCAGTAGGATTAGTACCAATTTGTCTTTGAATGTCTGGTAGAATTCAGTTGTGAATCTATCTTGTCCTGGACTTTCTCTGTTTGCATTTTTAAAATTACTGATTCAGTCTCACTGCTTGTTATTGTTATTGGGTGGCAGTAAACCTTACCCAGCTCTCCTGCAGTTGGTGAGGCTGATCTCACTCCCACAGTGCTCTGCTAACAATGCTTGGTTTAGATCCAGGTAGTCTATAGACAGAACTCAGACCTGCCCCAGGTCATAAGCTTCTCCACATAGAAAGCTGCCATGGCTTTCAAAAAGCCATGCCCCTCTTCGTCTTCCCAGGCATGGCCAGGCACCCAGCTCCTATGCTCCTGTCTGCAGCACACTTCCCACTTGCCGCAACTCCTCCCTCCCCATTCTGTTCAAGGGAATTTGTTCCACTCGAGATTATATTACAAAATTCAGTTGGGAGGTTCTTTCACCCTGTGTCCTTTCCCTGAGCTCATTGGCTGACTTCCAGAGGGTCCCTGTGAGATATATTCAGGAATAGCTTCCCTGGGTTCATGCTGGAGATTGGGAAGTCCTGCTGCGGCTCCTACTTTTTTATTTCCCTAAATCTGTTCCAGCTATTGGAAGGGTGAAGGGCTTCTCCAGTGGCCTGGATTTTCAGATTCCCTGGTGGGGATGTGTACTTGGAGGCAGACTCTTCCCCTCTCGCACTCTGAGGACTTAGGAGTTTTTCACCTGTCTCACGTAGTAGGCTATAGCCTCCCAATTCTTTCACAGGGTCTGTGGATTCTGTTTTCCTAAGTTCCTGTGTTGGTTCTTTGGGAAAAAATTCACACTGAATCTCTGCACATTATTCTGTCCTTCCAAGTGGGAGAAGCATGCTGACACTGCCTCCAGTCTGCCATCTTGAAAAAAAAAAAAAAACAAAAATTAGCATTGAGAAGATTTAGACATAAATTTCCAAACAAATTATAATTCAATTAGAAACACAGATTCTAACTCTTGAATCTTCTTACATAGCCTCTCCTCTCCATACATAAAATTCTCTTCTTCAAATTTAAATTCATGCTCTGCATTACCCCAACAACCTTCTGATTAGTCTCCCTATCTCCAATAACAACCTATCCTATTGTTCTTAGGGGACCAGTGAGCTGTCTAAAAAGCAGAGCTAATCATTCCAGTCTTTCGCTTGAAGTGTTTGCATGAATATTAATTCTAGGTTAAAGTCTAAAATCACATTAAACATCACAAGCTTTAGAAACTTTTTCGCTGGCTTCTTTTTTTCTACTTATCATTTCGGTATACTTAACTCATCTGCAAAGAAACAACTCAATACTGTTCATATTTCCCAATGTGTGTCTCATTTTTTACTCCTCATTGTCTTTGTTTTCGTATGTTGCATTCACTGCTTGGATAGGCAGTCACCCATGCTCTATCCAGTGTTGCCACTTTGAAAGCTTTACTTTAGTACCCTAATGGATATCCCTACTCTGTGCTGCCAGGTACCTGAGCTCACATCTGTCAAAATATATTACAGTGAACTGCTGACATGCCCCCATTTCTCAATTGAGAGGTTTCCAATAGACTGGAAAGTTTATTTGGAAGCAGAGACTGCATCTTACTTATTTTTGTGTTTTTGAGCCTGACACGTTTCCTGGAATGTTTAGGCAATAATAATTTTTTTTTTTTAGGTGGAGTTTTGCTCTTGTTGCCCAGGCTAGAGTGCAATGGCGCCATCTCGGCTCACTGCAACCTCTGCCTCCTGGGTTCAAGCGATTCTCCCTCCTCAGCCTCCCAAGTAGCTGGGATTACAGGCATGCACCACCACGCCCGGCAATGTTTTTTTTGTATGTTTAGTAGACGTGGAGTTTCTCCATGTTGGCCAGGCTGGTCTCAAACTCCTGACCTCAGGTGATCCACCTGTCTCAGCCTCCCAAAGTGCTGGGATTATAGGCATGAGCCATCACGCCCGGCGGCAATAATTGTTAACAGACTACATGAATAATTGCATAGATGGACGATGTCTATCCTCTACTCTCAATTTCCAATGACTTCATTATATATAAATTGATCTCTTTTTAAATGATCAGTTCCTACATTTCTATTCCTTAGATGCCTCTCTTCCCTCTTTCTTTTCATCTGTCTCAGAATTTTGACACCTTTCTTTAAGTTCAGTTCATAAGTCCACTTTTCTGAGTTTTTCTCATTCATATACACCCTTCTACGTGATCTATGTTAATTACTCTATACTTTGGTTGCTGTTGTATTTTAGACACATTTATATTGTAAAATGTGTTTACTATGTAGGTCTTTCTTGCTTGATTGCAAGAGTCTTCAATGACTTTCTATGCAAAAGTTGGTGAAAACAGACACATTTATTAGAGTTATTGTATGTCAGATTTTGTGTTCAGTGCTTTCACATATGCTAGCCTCATTTTCAATATAATCTTTAAACTACTTTGTAAATGGTTGTTGAATGAGTCTTTTACGTACCATATACATTGTAGACATTTAGTAGTTATTAGTTGAATGTATGAGTATAGGATGCAACTTTTCTGCCATTTAAGCTCTCTCTTCCTTTACTTATGTTCTGTTCTTCAGTCAAATTGGCTTATTTGGCTCTTTCTGGACACATCAGCAATTATAGGTTTCTATGTCTTTGCTTATATTGCTCCTTCTACTTGAAGATTTTTATAATCTCTGGCATAACAATTCTTACTAATCCCTCAAAGATAATATTGCTCATAATTTTTCCCATTAGTGTTATTACTAGATCTCTTCTTAAACTTCGCTAAGCTCTGGCTTATCTTCTGCATTTACTATTTTTATGGTTTTATTACAAGTATTTGTCTAGTTGTCATACTTCCCCCTAGACTATATGCTCCATGAAATCAAGCTTATTTATTCATCTTTGTATTTCTAAAGTAGCTCAGCACAATGTTTTATATACAGGCTTTCAGGAACCATTGTACATTTAATTCAGATGAGTTGAGAAGTAGAGGAATGTGCATTAGCATGTGTATGTGTGAGATGGAGCCTGCTTGCTTGATTGATTGGGAGACAGCATACTTAGGGTTTGGCATGCAGGCTCTGCAGCCAGATTATCTGTCCCTGGACAGGTTCTGACTGCAACATTTACTCACTTTGTGACTTTGGGGAATCTAGTTGGTTTTTCTATGCATCTTTTTCCTCATTTATAAAATGTAGATGATACTAATAATACCTACCATCAATGGTTGTTATGACGGCTTAAAATAGCTAAACCTTACCTGTAAGGCACATAAAACTGTGTCTAGCATATAATAAATATTCTATTTTGTGGAATAATTAACCAATTGAAACCTTTAAAAGTGGTCCAAATTCTCTAAATAATGTAATTTACATTTGACTTTGTATGATGGAAGTTTCATACTCTGTAGCAATCTAAAAGCAAAAAAAAAAAAAGAAAGAAAAAGAAAAATTTTAAAAATTATTTTATGTGTATCCCGAGATGAAGGTAGAATTGAAAATAAGAAACTGTCTTGGTTACCACAGGGGGAAAATGGTTTATTTATAGCTCAATTTATTGCCTCTATGATTGATTTCCTGCAAAAGCAATAAGGGCCTTCTTTGGTTTCCCGTATTTTCCTTTCACTTTTAATATGAAAGAAAGGAAAATACTTTCTTTACCTTTCCAGCGAGTGAGATATATATTCTTCTAGCATATTAACTAGCTCAGTTTTCCCTCTAGGTAAAGAAAACACAACCTAATTATATTAAATTAAAAGAAGTGGTACACAGTAGAAATTAAGAGTTTTTACAATGAAAATTTTTAGCAGATACTCTAAAGAGAAAGAAAAAAGAACTAAAGTAGGATTCAAAGAATCACTAGTTAATATTTCTACTAGTTAGCTACCTCCCTTTGTTGCCTGTTAAAAAAAATTTCAGGTATCTTTATGTCAATAAGGAAAATAAAAACTTACATATCTATTGGAGGCCTATTTTGTTCAATTCATTGTAACAAGATACAAAACAACTAAGATGCCAATTGTAATTTTCTACCTGTAAGCAATATTCAGTTTGGGGAAGACAGGATATAAAAAGAAGATAAATACTTAAAATCAGCTCTGTACCATTAGAAAATCACATAAAGAATATCACAAATAATAAATTAATTTACTAGTACATGCATACCTCAGAGATATTGTGGGTTTAGTTTGGGACCACTGCAATAAAGTACATCGCAATGAAGTGCATATTGCAATAAAGCAAGTCACTTAGATTATTTTTGTCTTCCTAGTGAATATAGAAGTTGTATTTATACTATACTGTAGTCTGTTAGGTGTGCAGTAGCATTATGTCTAAAAAAATATATGTACCTTAACTAAAAAAGAATTGCTAAAAAATGCTAACAATCAGCTGAGCCTTCAGTGAGTTGTAATCTTTTAGCTGCTGGAGAGTTGTGCCTCGATGTTCATGGCTATTGACTGATCATATGCTGAAAGTTAAGGTGGCTGTGGCAATTTCTTAAAATTAGGCAGCAGTGAAGTTTACTACATCAATTGGTTCTTCCTTTCATGTAATATTTATCTATAACATGCAATGCTGTTTGATAATATTTTACTCACAATAGAGTTTCATTCAAAATTGGAGTCAGTCCTCTCAAACCCTGCCACTGCTTTATCAACCAAGTGTCTGCAATATTCTAAATCCTTTATTGTAATATCAGCAGTGTTCACAGCATCTTCACCTGGAGTAAATTACATTTAAGAAAGCACTTTTTTGCTTTTCTATAAGAAGCAGTTTTCGTCTGTTCAAATTTTATGAGATTTGCATCAATTTAGCCACATATTTAGGTTCTACTTCTAATTCTAGTTCTCTAGCAAATTCTACATCTACAGTTACTTCTTCCACTGAAGTCTTGAAATCCTCAGAGTCATCCATGAGATTTGGAATTCACTGTTTCCAAACTCCTGTTAATGTTGATATTTTGACCTCCTCCCTTGAATCATAAATGTTCTTAGTGGCATTAGAAAGGTGAATCCTTTCCACGAGGTTTTGAATTTTCTTTGCCCAGAGCTATCACAATATATGACAGCTATAGCCGTAGGAAATGTATTTCTTAAATAATAAGACTTGAAAGTCAAAATGGCTCCTTGATTCATGGGCTGCAGAATGAGTACTGTGTTAGAAGACATGAAAACAACATTAATCTCCTCGTACATCTCCATCAAATCTTTTGGGTGATCAGGGGCATTGCCAATGAGCAGTACTATTTTGAAAGGAATTGTTTTCTCTACACAGCATATCTCAACAGTAGGCTTAAAATATTCAGTAATCCAGGTTTTTTGTTCCATTTGTAGAGCACAGGAAGAGTAGATTTAGCGTAATTCTTAAAGGACCTAGGATTTTTGGAATGGTGAATGAACATTGTGTTCAACTTAAAGTCATCACTTTTATTGGCCACTAACAAGAGTCAGCCTGTCCTTTGAAGCTTTTTGTTTTTTTAAATAAAGAACAGAAATTTATTTCTCATAGTTCTGAAGGCTAGGAAGTCCAAGATCAAGGTGCTGACAAATTGTCTGGTAAGGACCCACTTCCTAATTTACAGATGGCCAAACATCTTTTTGCAATATCCTCACATGGTAGAAAGAGTGAGCAACTATCAGGGGGCTTTTGTTTTTTCTTTTTCAACCTTTATTTTGGAGGTTATTTAGGGGGTACATATGCAAGTAATTGCATATTGCATGATGCTGAGGTTTGGGGTATGATTGAACCCATCATGTAGCTTTGAAGCTAGGTATTGACTTCTCCCTAGCCCTAGCATTTTCTAGATAGCATTTTCTTTCATCTTAAGGCTGTTTCATCTACATTAATTATCTGTTGTTTTGTGTAGCCACATTCATCAATGATCTTAGCTAGATCTTCTGTATAACTTGTTGCTTCTACATCAGCACTTGGTGCTTCACCTTGCACTTTTATGTTAGAGAGAGCTTCTTTTCTTAAACCCCATAAACAAATTTCTGCTAGTTTCAAACTTTACTTCTGAAGCTTCCTGAATTCTCTTACCCTTCACAGAATTGAAGCGAGTTGGGGCCTTGTTTTGGATTCGGCTTTGGCCTAACAGAATATTGTGGCTAGTTTGATCTAACCAAACCACCAAAACTTTCTCCATATCACCAGTAAGGCTGTTTTGCTTTCTTATCATTCATGTGTTCACTGAAGTAGCATTTCTAATTTCCTTCATGAACTTCTCCTTTCCATTCACAACTTGCCTAACTGTTTGGTGCAAGAGGCCTCACTTTTGTCCTATGTCAGATTTAGACATGCCTTTCTCACTAAACTTAATCATGTCCATAATTAGAGACTTGTGACTATTCCTTTCACTTGAGCACTTGAGGTCATTTTAGGGTTACTATTTGGCCTAATTTCAGTGTTGTTGTGTCTTAGGGAATAGAAAGTCCCCAGGAGAGGGAGAGAGAAAAGAGAACAGTGTTGGTGGAGCAGTGAGAACATATACCATTAAGTTTGCTGTCTTACATGGGCATGGTTCATAGTGCCCAAAAACTATTTGTTTCACACAAAAAATACTGTTTTGAAACTGAAAAACTGGGAATGATGGCAACAATAGATATGAATTGTGATATGACAGCAATTGGCTAGACCTGTGTGCCAGCTGTTTTTCTTAGATAATCTCTCTTCTAATTCATCACAATCCTTTCCTGGACATCTTTACTAATTTATATTATATACCTGGTCCCCAGATATTTGATTTTTTAATATCTGAAAGCTATTTGGAACCACTGGACTAATAGTGTGTGCCCCTGGATTTATAGAGGTCCTGGTCTTAATCCTCTAAACATTTGTTCTCTTCTCTGCTGGATGTGTCTACTTGGGTCAATAAAGAGAGAGAAGGTCTCCTTCTAGAGCAAGGATCTTAAAGCCTTGTAAAATAGAGGTAGTATTTCTCCCTGGGTCAAAGGATATGCATTATCCATTACAAAATATTTGGGTTCCTTAAGTTCTAGGTTCTACTCCAGAATCAAACCCACAGTGTATGCAGATGTCACCTGGCCCTCTTTGCATCTTTTAGGAGAATTTGTGTTTAGGGAACAAGGGCAAGAAAATGCTGGTACTCTAGCCACTGCTCTTGCTGTGAGTAACAAAGTCCTTTGACTCTGACCCAGTCCTTTGACAGAAACCCAGTATCTTCTGCCACTATACATGAAACTGTGATAGGCCAACTTCTTAGCTTGCAAGAAGAGTAGAATCTCATTCTTTGGTTTTTTAGGATCATGTTCTGCTGGTAGAGAAAGTGTGACTTAATAGCAAAGTAAATAAAACTTACTTATATTAGTCTGTTCTCATGCTGCTGATAAAGACCTACCTGAGACTAATTTATAAAGAAAAAGAAGTTTAATGCACTCACAGTTCCACATGACTAGGGAGACCTCACAATCGTGGTGGAAGGCGAAAGGCACTTCTTACGTGGCAGCAGATGAGAGAAAATGAGAGCCAATGTGAGATTTATTCACTACCACAAGAATAGTTTGTGGGAAACCACTCCCATGATTCAAATACCTCCTATTAGGTCCTTTCTACAACATGTGGGAATTATGGGAGCTAACAATTCAAGATGAAATTTGGGTGGGGACACAGCCAAACGATGTCATTCTGCCACTGGCCCCTCCCATATCTCATGTCCTCACATTCCAAGACACAATCATGCCTTCGCAACAATCCCCCAAAGTCTTAACTCATTCCAGCATTAACTCAAAAGTCCACAGTCCAGAGTCTTATCTGAGATAACAAGAGTCTCTTGCACTTATGAGCCAGTAAAATCAAAAGCAAGTTAGTTACTTCCTAGGTACAATGGGGATACAGGCACTGGGAAATACAGCCATTCTGAATGGGAGAAATTGGCCAAAACAAAGGGTCTACAGGCCCCACACAAGTCCGAAATCCAGCGGGCCAGTCAAACCTTAAAGCTCCAAAATGATTTCCTTTGACTCCGTGTCTCACGTCCAGGGCACGCTGTTGTAAGAGGTGGGCTCTCATGCTCTTGGGCAGCTCCACCCCGTGGCTTCGCAGGGTACAGTTTCCCTCTTGGTTGCTTTCATGGGCTGATGTTGAGTGTCTGGCTTTTCCAGGTGCATGGTGCAAAATGTTGGTAGATCTACTATTCTGGGGTCTGGAGGACGGTGGCCCTCTTCTTACAGCTCCACTAGTCAGTGCCCCAGTGGAGACTCTGTGTGGGGGCTTCAGCCCCACATTTCCCTCCCACACTGCTCTAGCAGAGGTAGGGCTCTGCCCCTGCAGCAGATGTCTACCTCCACAAGAGCCCTGCCCCTGCAGCAAACTTCTACCTGGATGTCCAAGCATTTCCATACATCTTCTGAAATCTAGGCAGAGATTCCTATACCTTAACTTCTTGACTTCTGTGCACCTGCAGGCTCAAACACCATGTGGAAGCTGCCAAGGCTTGAGGCTTGCACCCTCTGAAATAAAAGCTTGAGTTCAACATTGGCCCCTTATAGCCATGGCTGGGATGCAGGGCACCAAGTCCTGAGACTGCACAAAGCAGCAAGGCCTTGGGTACAGCCAATGAAACCATTTTTTCTTCCTAGGCCTCCAGGCCTGTGATGAGAGAAGCTGCCGTGAAGACCTCTGACATGCCCTGGAGACATTTTCCTCATTGTCTTGGTGATTAACATTTGGCTCCTCCTTACTTATACAAATTTCTGCAGCCAGCTTGAGGTTCTTCTCAGAGAATGTGTTTTTCTTTTTTATCACATTGTCAGGCTGCAAATTTTCTGAACTTTAATGCTCCGCTTCTTCTTGAAACATAAGTTCCAATTCCATATCATATCTTTGTGAATGAATAAAACTTAATGCTTTTAACAGTACCCAAGTCACCTCTTGAACGCTTTGCTGCTTAGAAGTTTCTTCTGCCAGATGCCCTAAATTATCTCTCTGAAGTTAAAAGTTACACAGATCTCTAGGGTGGGGCAAAATGCTGCCAGTCTCTTTGCTAAAACATAGCAAGAGTCACCTTTACTTCAGTTCCCAACAAGTTCCCCATCTCCATCTCAGTCCACCTTAACCTGCACTTCATTGTCCATATCACTATCAGCATTTTCGTCAAAACCATTCAACAAGTGTCTAGGAAGTTCCAAACTTTCCCACATCTTCCTCTCTTCTTCTGAGCCCTCCAAACTGTTCCAACCTCTCCCTGTTATCCAGTTCCAAAGTTGCTTCCACAGTTTTTGGGTATCTTTACAGCAGCACCCCACTCTACTGGCACCAATTTACTGTATTAGTACATTTTCATGTTGCTGAAAAAGACATACTCAAAATTGGGTAATTTATAAAGAAAAAGAGGTTTAATGGGCTCACAGTTCCATGTGGCTGGGGAGACCTCACAATCATGGCAGAAGATAAAAGGCACATCTTACATGGCAGCAGAGAAGAGAAAATATGAGAGCTAAGCAAAAAGGGAAACCCCTATAAAACCCTCAGATCTCATGTGGCTTATTTACTACCACAAGAATAGAATGTCGGAAACTGCCCCCATGATTCAGTTATCTCCCACCTGGTCCCTCCCACAACATGTGGGAACTATGGGAGCTACAATTCAAGATGAGATTTGGGTGGGGAAACAGCCAAACCATATCATTATTAAAATCAGTGTTTAGGGGGTGGGTGCAGTGGCTCATGCCTGTAATCCCAGTATTTTGGGAGGCCAAGGCAGGTGGATCACTTGAGTCCAGAAGTTCGAGACCAGCCTGGCAACATGGCATAACTCTGTCTCTACAAAAAATACAAAAATTAGCTAGGCATGGTGGCGCACACTTTAATCCCAGCTACTTAACGAGGCTGAGGCACCAGAATCACTTGAGCCTGGGAGGTCGAGGTTGCAGTGAGCCAAGATCATGCTACTGCACTCCAGCCTGGGTGACAGAATGAGACCCTGCCACAAAACAAAATGAAATGAAAAACAAAAACAACAACAATAAAGTCAGTGTGTAGGTATTTACATTTCGGTAATAGACTGCTAATGATTGATCTTTCTATTCTTCCTTATTTTAAATGTTGGTTATTAATAGGAAATGCAGTAGTTGTTTTTCTTGTATAGATTTGTTTTTGTTTTGTTAATCTTTAATAACAAAGGAGTTATTTAAAATATCAGTAGTTTTATTAAAAGGACTTTTTGATGGATTTAATTATGCACAACAATATATGCAGAGTTTTTTCTTTCAGGGTTTTAGAAATGTTATCAGAAGCTCTTTATTTTTTGCCTCAGTTTATCTTATACATCTAGGAGACTTCACTCATTGGTTGTTAATTTAATTGGCTCATGTTGAGAGACTTACAAGGAACTTTGTTTTATTATTGACTTTTTTTTTTGTTTGTAATTCTGAGCTCTCATTGCTAAAGGGAGGATCATTTTAAAGCCTTACTTAAACCTCTCTTTGGTAGCACTTTCTAGAGTATGAAATTTTTTTATTTTATTTAATCTGATTTCAGCATATCAAAGGTATCTTGCATAACCCATGAGCTGCTGTATCTCATGAATTTATCCTGTATTGGTGAACTTTCAGAGAATATATACTGAAGAACAGTTGTACTTTAGAAAGAAAAGAACAAGTATTCATTGTTTAAAACCTGAATCTTTCTATTTTTTACAGTCAGTGGCTTCTAAGTGGAAAAATTTTTAATGGAATTTTTACACATTATTATGGATTATACTTGCAGCTTCTCTTCCTGTTCCTTTCCACTAATGAACTTTATTTTCTAAGTTGGAAAATAAATAGAATTATGTACAAATAATTTTATGACTATAGCAAATTTATTGTTTATTATGTTCCAAGGTTAGGATGTGAGACCAGAAGTTAGAAAGCATTAAATCTATCATGTGAACAAAATAATTGAGAAGATTAGAAATAATACTAAAGACACTATTTCCTGTGTTCCTGCAATCTTATAAAAATATGATTATAGATTTAGGCTGCAGAATATGAATATGTGAAAGATACTTGTCCACTATACAGAGAAGTAATGATGGCCCCAGCTGCCCATCTGGAGTGGCTGCTGCAAAGATGCTGCAGTAGGGGAGGCATGGCCAGGGCTGTGTGCTCTATGGAGCAGGTGGGATCTGGGAACAGGCAGGAGCCCCACCCTCTTCCGAGTTGGTGGGGTTGGAGCCCCATGCTTCCAGGAGCAGCTGCAGCTATGGACCTGGGCATCCCTATACTCTTGGGGGCCCAGGAAGTCCCCCTACCCCAGCAGGCTTGGAAGTGCCTGCTCCTGCTGTCTGGCCTCACCCTGCTCACAGTGCCTGCTCTGGGATGGAGCAAAGCTGTGGCCAAGCCTGGGCACTGTTGTGACCTGGCTGGGTGTGCACACACTCAGGGTGGCGCTGACATGCCAGCCCCCTGCCACCGCATCCCTTTCCAGACTTTGGGACCAAGGAGCACTGGAGGGAGGCCGACGGGGTTGGGCTGAGGGTAGCTCCGCATGGGCCTGCAGGTGACCCTCCACAGAAACAGCCTGTAGATGACATGATTGGTGGCAGCAGGAGGCAGACAGGCTCATGGGTGGAAAGGGGCAGGTCCCCATTGAAGCCCTACCTTCAAGACAGGGACAGCCTACAGCCTCAGGGCCGGGCTGTCAGTTCCTGGTGGAGTTCACAGTGGGAGTGAAAACTTATGGAGCTTTTTCTGGGCCTGCCCTTGGACCAGTCAGCACACACTTCCTTCCTTCTGAGCCCATGAAAAACTCCAGACCCAGCCAGACTCACACAGACATCAGACTACCAGCTACAGGAAGAAGCTACCCAATTTGAGTCTCTTTGACTCCTTGGGATGATCTGCCTGCAGAAAGGAGCTACCCACTCTGGGTTTCCTGAGTGCTGTTCTGCTGCTCAGTAAAGCTCCTTTCTGCCTTCCCACCCTCCAGTTGTTTGTATACCTCATTCTTCCTGGACACGGGACAAGAACTCAGGGCCTGCCAAATGGCAGGACTGAAAAAACAGTAACACAAACAGGGCTGAAATGTGCCCACCCTCCACCCCCTTCACGCCCCACATTGTGGGCAATGAGAAGGAGAGAAGAGCTGTGGCCCTTTGGGGAGCCCACACCTACAGGCTCCCTGAGCTAGGCTGTGAAGCCCCATTTGGGAGACTGCAGTTTCTGGAGTCTCCAAGCTTTTGGGTGCCACTGGTTCCCCTCCTCCAGACACAGGTGCCCACAGTGGAAGCCACTTGCTGTGCATCAGATCCAGCCACTGGCTTGCCCAGAGCCGGTGCCTGTGCTGGTGCCTGGAGCTGCCCGCCCTGCTACAGCAGCCAGTGTGCTTGGCTGTGCGCAGTGGCTGGACTCCATGCTCACTTGTTCATGCACCACTTGCTGCTCCGCATCTGACTCGTCCTTGGCAGGTGTGGGATCTGTGCTGGTAGTGCATGGTGAGCGTGGCCCGCCAGGTTGAGTCAGTGGAATGAGCCCAGCAGGCCTGAGCAAAACTCGGGTAATGGCGCAACCAATCACAGAGGTTTCTGGCTGGAAAAGTGACACACAAACAATAAGCGACAGTAGTGCTTATCTGCACTAGAGACAAAGTGTTATGAGCTTTTTGACAAATAAAAATTATGCAGCATAAATACCCAGCATCTGTGTCTTTATCGTGTCAGGAATTTTCATGTATAAGGAAGAGTGGTTCAATCTAATTATGAATATCCTTGGTAACTATGGTTGCCATCCTATCAAAGATGACTTGCTGTATGGTGACTATGTAACCAGAGTGTTTTGATATGCTGTTTCTGTGGGTTGCTGGAAAACAATTGCTTTTCCCTTATTGATAGAACAGCAAGAGTAATAATGGTCCCATAAGAATCTATCTTCATATTCTTAAAAAATGGAGTCATGATAAAAGAAGGTTGGATTTAAGGAATAACTGTATACAAAATGTCAACAGATTTAGGAATCACAGCGCTAATATTTTGTGTCCATAATGTAATCAAAACATATCAAATATGTTACAAATATCCTATTATCTTCTGAACAAAGCTTGCCCTCTGTTTAAAGATACTGACATTGAACATATCTTAGTTGATCAAGGTGAATTTTCTGACAACATTTACATAAAATTAGAAATAGAGTTGGGCTGCTGAATATAGAACATATTTTCTTTTTGTTTAAAATGAGGATGACAGTATATATTCCTGAGCTACAATGGATCTTAAACACCTGCCACCACTAATACCACAGCAACAAAACAAACCAACAATAAACAAACATGTTGATTTCCTTGTTTGTATTATGGTAGTTACTTTGTTCATTCCCATGTATCTGATTTTTAGTCTTAGATTTTTAGTGTAATATTTTTTAAAATTTAAATATATGATTGAAGTTTAATGTACATGGGGAAAAGTACACAAATCATACATATAGAGTGAGAAATTTTTATGAAGTAAACATAATCCATGTTTACAGTATGTATCCATGTTTATCTCCTACCCAGATAAAGTAGTAATACCTTGCTGCCTGCATCTTGGAAGACGCCCTCTCTCAGCGCGTCAGAAAGTCGCACATAGTCACCACCCAGTAGTTCTGATACATGCCATCATAAATCATACATAGTTGAAATCATACTAATTATACTCTTTTGGAAAAAACTGGCTTCTTCCTCTCTTTATGTTTATGGAATTCAACTCTTTACTTGCATGTAGCAGTACTTTGTTCATTCTCCTTCCTTCATTGTATAGCTGTACCACAATTAACCTATTCATTTGATTATTTATTTATAAATTACCCAGTCTCAGGTATTTCTTTATAGCACTGCTAAAACAACCTAACACAGAAACTGGATATATAACATCAAGGAGAAGAGGTTTATTGGGCCCTTGGTTATGCAGGCTGTACAGGCATGGTATTAGCATCTGCTTGGCTTCCAGGCAGGCCTCAGAGAGCTTTTGCTCATGGCAGAAGGTGAAACAGAGCCTGCATGTCACATGTGGTGAGAGCAGGAGCAAGAGAGAGCAAGGGGAGGTGCCGTGCACTTAAACAACCAGATCTTGTAAGAACTCATTGTCGTCAGGATGGCACCAAGGAGATGGTGCTAAACCATTCATTGGAAATATGCTCCCATGATCCGATCACCTCCCACTGGGCTCTACCTCCAAAATTGAGGATTACAGTTCAATATGAGGTTTGGGGGGAACAAATACCCAAACTCTATCATCCAGTGTTTATATATGGGTACATAAGTTTCTAAAATTTTAGTTTTGTTCCATCTATTTGTTTATGCTTGTACCAATGCCACATTGTCTTAATTAATGTAAAGAGTACATACTTGTTAATGTTCCTAGTGAAGATTACCTTTTTTGTTCTTGACTCTTGCATGTCCCATAAAGTTCAGAACCAGTTTTTAGTATCTACTACAAAAAATACCTCCTGGGATTGTTTATTTGAGTTACATTAAATTTTTAGACTAATTTGGGAAGAACTGACTCTTTATAATATGAATCTACCATTAAAGTGTTACATACCTTTATTTATGTTTTTTATATCTCTGTGTATGGGTGTATGTTGATATTTTTGCCTTGCTCATCTATTGTTAGCTTTATTTCTATTTATTTGGGACTTTTAGATAGCATTATAAAAATTAAATGTTTAAAGTTTCATTTTCTAGTTATATATAGCCAATATAAAACTACAACTGATATTTTATATCAATTTTGTGTTCAGCAACCATGTTCAATTTTCTTATTTCCTATAGTTTAATCTGTAAAATTTTTGTATTTTCTACATATAAAGCTATGTCATAAGCAGACACTGCTTTGTGGTTTTCATTGATTCTTCTACGATTATATACATTTAAAAGTTTTAGTACATCTTCTATTCTTTTAGTACACTAGAGCATATTAGACATATAAAAAGTTAAAAACCATGAACAAATACAGAAAATATATTTTTGAAATCACTTATAATCCCTTCCACAAGCCAGTTATTAAATTTGTGGCATCTCCAGACATTATAGTTTAACATTGGATCATAAAGGACAAAATTTTAAAAATACTATTTCCATTTAGTAGTATCCCATGAACACTTTTCCACGACAATAAATATTTTTCTGCACAAAATTGTTACTAGTGAACGTATTTGTTTTCAAATATTTTGCTCTTATAAACAACACTGCATATAAAAGACTTGTGGATGGGCCTTTGGCTGCTATGTATTTTTTGGACATAATTTCCTTAGGTGAAATCCCTAGAAGTAGATGTTCTTAGTCATAATGTATAGGCTTTTGAAATTTGTTTCCAAATTGCCTTCTAGAAGTGCTGTGTAAATTCTCATTCACACCAGTAGTATACAGAAGTTCCTGTTTGCAAACACCCTGGCTTCTGTTGATGTTCACCCTTTGTTGTATGAAATGTTTTTCATTTTTTCCTATCAGTTGAAACTAAAACCCTGTAGCCTTTTATGAACTAGTGGTTTCATGAAAATATTTTACCTTTTTTTTTTTAAAAGAAATCATTCTCCTCACACTTTCTATTTTCCATTCTTCTTACCTTTTCTTAAAATTGCAGGATTTTCAAATTAGAATATCTAATACACTTCTCCACATTTACACAGGAGAAAACAAGCCTGGAAGATTAAGTGATTTGTCAACTACTGACCAGCTGACACCTTTCCAGATTTATTTCCCTGCATCTGATTAATCCCATTGTCTTTGAAAAGATACTGTTTTTCCACCGCATATTCTCACTCATAGGTGGGAATTGAACAATGAGATCACATGGACACAGGAAGGGGAATATCACACTCTGGGGACTGTGGTGGGGTCAGGGGAGGGGGGAGAGATAGCATTGGGAGATATACCTAATGCTAGATGACACATTAGTGGGTGCAGCGCACCAGCATGGCACATGTATACATATGTAACTAACCTGCACAATGTGCACATACATGTACCCTAAAACTTAGAGTATAATAAAAAAAAAAAAAAAAAAAAGAAAAGATACTGTTTTTCAAGACTTTAAAGAGGATTACTATTGTTTTTTGGTAGACAGACTAGAACTCATTATCTAATAACAGGATTATAACATAGTCTTATTTATCATGTTCTTATCTCTCATGATATTATATGAACAGAACTATCACTTTAACAAAAAGTCATTAATAGATTTCTGTGTAATAGATAGGTGGTAGTAAGCCATCAATAAATGGCAGTTCTTACTCTTATTTGAAATAAAAAGATCCTGAAATTATATTATTATTACAGGTGCATGGCTATCCATTGGTCATGTATTCTATTCTTTGTAGATTGACAGTTACTTATACTTGTTCACTGTATTTTAAAAGCGATTCAGCCTGCAACTTAAGTGGTTTATAATTGTAAGGGTCAATAGAATATATTGAAAGATTTTTGGATTAGTGAAAACTTGGAGTTTAGTTGGCCTTTTTATTTTCTCTCTCTCTCTCTCTCTCTCTCTCTCTCTCTCTCTGTCTCTCTCTCTCTCTCTCTCTCTCTCTCTTCCCTTTTCTTCTTCCCAGGTCTCTGCCAGCACCCTGAAATTTCTACATTTGTAAAACAATTTGCTATTGATATTTTCTCTCATTTGCTTCATCTCTAAAGGAAGAGGTAGTAGAAACCACCACTGTCTTTTTGCAGAAGTTTAAATGGAGGTGTGAAAATTCATGCTTTCTGGGTTCACTTCCTCTCATATACCTCAGAGAAGAATGGTAGCCACTTAGTCTTAAGAAAGTTTAGAGCCTTAGTGCAACAGTTTAGAATAATCTAATTTTTTTGTTTGTTTTTAAAGACTTTGTTGTTGTACTCTATTTCTATTCTTCATTCTTGAAATCCCCTTCCCCCTACCTCTGTTCCCCAGCCCCACCTCCTACACAATAATGGGTGTTTTGCTGAAGTGATCAAATGAGGGTTATCTGTTGCGCAAACACTCATATATGAAAAGTTAACAAAATAGTGCCCTGGCTCCCTAATCCCTATTACTACCACTAATTAAGATTCCAGTGAATGCCTCTTTGGATTTGAGGTTTATCACAAGTAATCTGACAAAGTTTCATTTACACAAGTACTGTGGAAATGTAGCTTGTCCTTTTGTAAATTGTTATTATGAAGGGGTACATTAGACTAAAATTTTCTTAAGTTCATACATCTCGTATAACTGGCTCTGGGAAATCACTGAGTGCTCAAAAGAGTTATGAATTGAATTCACTGTAAATGCTAGATTAGAATAATTTTTATAGTAACAGATGTGGAAGATGTCTATTTGGCCTTTTTAAAAAAACTTTATATGTTATACACAAAATAAATATTGACAATTTGACCACTTTACGTTGTATACTTTATATACGAAACAAAAATGCTTTAACTTCTTCATACGAAAAATAAAATTTATACTGTTCTGAAGTCAGTGGTTCCCTGATCATATTTTTTTTACTCTGAGTATCATGATCAATGTCCCTTTTGTGTGTTGAGTATTTGAAACTTTAATTTGGAAAAGAAAAATGTACTTCTTAGACATTAGTTTTATGGTAATTATAATGAAGCTGGACATAATTGCATATTTATACTTCATTGTAAATCAACAGCTTCCTAATATTCTTAAAAGTGTTCCTTTTTTTTTTAAAAAAAACAGCAGCATTTTGTTAACCTTAATCAGAGCCTGACGTGTGTTTCTTCTAAATGGCATCTGATGTGGTATCTCTCCTCAGTTCTCTGTGGTTTCCTGTTTTTTTCATACATAGAGAAACACTTTTTGAGGTATTAAGCCTCATATTTTTCTTCTTTTAATGGTACCTGAAACCTAAACTCTCTTATAAATACAGCATAGTGTTGTCAACCTGTCTCACCATTAATTTATGCCACTTCCCACAGACTGCTTCTCTGGAATCCCTCCAGCCCTTGCTGTGTATCCATCACCCAGCTAGCATTGTCCTTACATACCCCACTCTAGATTCTTTAGCATTACAGGTTTTACTTCTGTCCCTAAAGTGTGATCTTCAGAGACAAAGATGTTATCTTTATTTCTATAATTGTATTTCCCCAACAGTGCCTTGTTTTAGCAATGAATAGATATAGTAGGCTCTCAAAGTGTTGTCTCTAGAGCAGCAGCAGCAGCAGCAGCCTCAGGGAACATTTTATGGCTGTCAGTGTTCAGGCCCCACCCCAATGCTACTGAATCATAATATCTTGGGTTGAGGATCAGGCTATGTTAACAAGCCCTTCAGATAATTTGGATGCATGCTGAAGTTTGACAAACACTGCTATAGAAAATTATTGAATGAATATGAAAGTTGTACCTTTATGGTGATATCTCATTGAAGAGGATTGATATAGCATGGGGCCAGGCACAATTTAGTTTATTCTGCCTGAGTCTTGTATTTCAGAGATACTGGTAAAGGAAACCTAAGATTTAAATATTTGCTATCTTATAAGAGGATGTTATCTTATAAGAGGGACGGCTTTTATGCTATTCTGTTGTAAAAATTGTAGTTTAAGTTTTAAAAACTGAATGATTTCTTTCTTCTGCCGAATTAGGAATAGGCATTATTCTGAAGCAGGAAGGTTAACTAAGAAATGCATCCTGGGTGTCACTAATTTTCATGGTGGGAAAGAGGGTAGGTGAGTTGGAAACTGGTCAGGTGGGGATAGGTTGAGAGACGTTTCCCTAGTTACCATTCTGTGCTCTTCTAAATTTTTTGAATCATGTAACTGCATAACATGTTAAAATTTTGTCGAATGATATTCAGTCAGAATAAAGTAATAAATATTGAATAAACTCCCATGATATAACCATTGTGGTTGGTTTAAAAATTAAGTTTTTCTTTTGTATTAATATGAAAAGTTAGATAACGTATGTTTTTCATCTCTGCAGAAAACATCAGGGTTGTGGCAGAAATGTCTTGATGGCTTTCTACCTTAGCCTTCTTGAATTGGTTGATACATATTACTCATTTGTGCAATGAATAAAGGATTTCTATTATTATATGGACCCATCATCTTATGACTGTTTTTAGAAAATGAGAATTAAATCTTGATTCATTATTAAATAACCTTGTATACACACATGAAGAGGTCATGACACATAAGACTTTGACCTAATACCTTTTTTCAGATATGTTTCTATAGCTATCTTGATAGCCTAGGACTGTTTGAGAGAAAATTAATTTAAATTTTTGTCATATTCTTAGCAAATGCAAAATAATTGAGTTAAACAGAACCCACTACATTTGTTCTGAAATATGAACAATATTCTCAAATATTTGTCTGGTAGTACAAATACAATTATATTAATTTTATTATTGAATTTTGCTGCTTCAAAGGGAGGTATTTCTTAAATGATACTTGATTCAATTATTTCCCTTTTTTTCCACCTTGCACAGAACTATCGTACCATGGAAAGTATTCAGACAGTGCCTTCATGAGGTCCACCAGATTAGCTCTGGCCTGGAAGCAATGGCTCTAAAATCAACAATTGATTTAACTTGCAATGATTACATTTCAGTTTTTGAATTTGATATTTTTACCAGGCTGTTTCAGGTAAGTTTATACTTGCTTAGTCTATCCATTCCCTTCTTCTCTCTCCCTGTCTTTTCTCTCTGTTTCTCTCTCTCTCTGTCTCTCTCTCACACACACACACATAAACAAACATATGGAAAATAGTGTCATTCCTATTAGTCTGTAATTTTATTGGTATGTTTGGTCATTGTTAAAAGTTTAGAGTGAGCCATTTGGCTTAAGTTTGGAGTTATCAGATGCTGTGAGCCTGGTGGCTGCTTGTTAGCTTTGAGAGGATCCATCCAAAAGAGCTTTGTTTTAAACTCTCTACTTAGTTTCTTACTTTATTTTGTTGATCTTTTAGCACAATGATGGATAGAATGCAACAACTGGAGGTGGGCATTTGCCACCTAGATCTAAAATCTTTCCCTTTGCCTTCTGTGTTTATTAGGTCAAAAGGGAAATAGTAAACTTAGAAATATCAGACTGTTCTGTATAGGACAGAACTGTGTCCTGTACTTATTTTGTAAATTGCTTTGCACATTCAACCATGTGTAATGAACATTTTTCAAAGTCAATAAATATTCTTCATCAGTTCCCTTGTCATATTCATTCAAAATAGTATGTCAGTATTAACAAAGCTCTCTTTTGAAAAATTTAGGTCTTTTCCCACATTTTCTCTAATGTAAACAACTTTAAGATGAACATTTTTGTTGTGCTTATTGTTTTTCCCTTTAAATTATCTTCCATAATTGTTTTCACATAGCAAATTAGAAGAAGGTAGCATTATATGGATACTATCATTTTCTTCTTTTGCGTGCCTTAATGGAATTATCTTAAACATGAAGACTTGAAATTTGTGTTTTGAGATTGACTCTGCCACTAAAATGTGTATCATCTGTGGGATTCAGTTCAAGTAGTCACAAAATAAAAATTTTCTGCTTAACATTTTTATGATTTGGTAACATAAATTATATAGTAAATGAGGTAAATTGATCAGACTGGGCTTACTTATGTTCTGATATTATTTTTTATCATTTTAATCTGAAGTAACATTGATTCTCTTTGAAACATGCTTTCAACAAATATCAGAGTATAATGTTGATTTCATGTTTTTCATGTTACATGAACTTCTCTGATTTATAATTCTGCTTGGCACTAGCTAGCAAGGATTGGATGACTGGTTTTTGTAATAAAAACCACAATGCACAGGATTAGCTTTTAATTTATGAAGGAACCCATTATTAGAAGAGAGATTAACTCCTGTCAACAGTACATATAGGATGTGAAACCCCGCCTCTACTAAAAATACAAAAAATTAGCTGGGCGTGGTGATGAGCACCTGTAGTCCCAGCTACTTGGGAGGCTGAGGCAGGAGAATGGTGTGAACCCGGGAGGCAGAGCTTGCAGTGAGCTGATATCGTGTCACTGCACTCCAGCCTGGGCAACAGAGCAAGACTCTGTCTCAAAAAAAAAAAAATACATATAGGATATATTTCACTTCATTACAATTACAGAATCATAATTCTACCTTCTATATAGGGTAAGCAATTACATAAATCACTGATGAAAGTGTGCTTTTGATTATTTTAAATTTTTTAAATTCGTGATTATTCCCTTGGTGTATGTATTACAGTTTGACAGTTTATGTTTTTTTCAAAGATTTTAAGATATATTTTAGAAAAAAAAGTTGTCTGATATTGGTCATTTTATAATGGAACCTCTCCTTTCTTTAAAGGTTTCTGATAATTTTACAGAATATCTTATTTATTTAACATGATACAAAGACATTCTAAATAGTAAGAGCTTTGCTTCTTCACCTTGTCAAGGAAGAGAGTAAAAGTAATCTTCCTACATTAAACCTAACTGCTCATTCTAGGAAGTGAGTATATTTTTTTGTGGTGAGCCTGGATGACTTTTTACTGTGGGTATTAAATGCTAGAATTCCTTGCAGTTATATATTGAAAGTATGAGGGCAACTTAATGTTGGTTAAACGATTACCTAAACTGCTATTTAGTATGTGGACATATTTTCTTATAAGCTGTTTTACTTTAAAACAGCACAAGTCAACCTTAATACTCTAAGGAATATATATCTTATTTACTTTCACTGGGATGGGAAAAGAAAGGGCTATTTTTAAGTCAAGCTACTGTGAAAAGTTTTATATCATAAAATGAAAATCTTACCTGGGCTAGGGAATGCCTAATCATTTTAAAAACATGATTACAGAAGCAGCTGAAGAACTCTTGTTAGCCCGTGTATTTCTGAGATTCATCATTCCATTTATTTCTATGCTGTAATCAAATGCTTTGAATATAATCGTATGTGTGCCTTAAAATATGATAAAATTGATTCTGTTTATAGAGAAGTAGATGGTTTAACTTTTGCTGATCTTTTATTTTTATAAAACTTTAAAAATTAAGTGATTTTCTTAAATGTATTATATTTATTAAATCCTTACATTTATATATTCTGTATGAAAATATGTTTTGCTAATACTGTGTGACTGCGGGAACATACATTCAGCTATAGCCATGATATTAGTAGTTAATTGGCAGTGACTTCTGACTAAATTATTGGGAGTGGGGTATTTAGCAGAAAGGGAACTGAAGGTGAGCAAGGTACACTTAGAATTTGGGGTCTGAAGTAGAGAAACTAGCAGAAGAAGGAGCCAGTGGGGGGGCAGGAGATGAAGTTGAGAATTGCAGAGGGAATGAAAGAAGTAAAAATGTTTGCTTCCTCTTGGCTTTCATTCTTATATGCAGGCAGAACCTGAACAAATACTTGGGAGTCACTGGAGGGATCTTACTGTGGTCACCTTCCTCATTTCCTCTTCTTCCTTCTTTCCTTCTCTTTATCCTTCTCTTTTCTCTCAAAGTCACTTAGAGATGCTGGAATCAGCACATGCTAATATTAGTCCTGGAAAGAAATTATAGGGATTTTGCTTCTCCCTTCCTTCTCCCTGGGGCTGTTGTTCCCCTTTTCCTCTATATCCCCACTGTTAGAAAAAATGGGGTCACTGAGAAATGGGGCACTACATTTGGGGGTAGCAGGATAAGGACGGAGTATTTTAGTAGAATATCCTATTGACTATGGAATGTGTAGCATCAATGGAATAGTGAGGAAAATCAAAGAAGAGGAAAGTCCTCAGTTGTAGTAAAGAATTATAGAGAGTGTCTAGGCAGACCAGCCAAGGACCCTCTTCCAACTTAAGTTGTAAGTCAGTAACTGGCTCTTCTTGAAAATAGTAGCATTTGGGAGAATGGAGGGACTTGTCTCCTTTATTCACTTCATTAATTTCTATAGTCATTTAAAAGTATCTAGATAATTTTATGTTCTTGTACACAAAAAAATTTCTTCAATCTGAAAAACAAAATAAAAAAAAGTTACTCTCCAAAGCACTTTGTTTTGCCTTTTTTAAGCCAGTAGTTGTCGAAATACTTTAAAAAGAAAAAGCACATAAGTACTACATGTTTCTGTTTTGAATGGGCTGCATACAAGGAAAACAATACACAGACTCATTCTATTACATAAATATTTTTGCAATTAGAAGCTGGCCCTCTGGATTATGTACTAAGAAATGGTTGCTGAATACTGTAGCAGTTGGCTCAAAACTCCAACTTAATTTTTTTACTTGTATTTTGATCTGTGCATTGGTGCTCTATAAAGTTTAGCATTTTTTTTCAAACACTCTTCCACTAATTTGTGTGGACTTTAATGGAAGTGACCCAAATATTTGTTTGGTATTTCTTTCATCCTTGTCCTTCATAGATGGGTAGAACAAAACAAAACAAAAACTAGGGTCTAGAATAACAGTTATTGCTCAGTTTTTTAAAATATATGCTGACATTTTCCAAGTAATGTTTAATGCAGTTTTTAGTCATGCATTAGGAAGAAAATTAAAAACATGCATTTTTTTCAACCTCTCATATTATTATTCTCTAGAGCGCCTTTCTTGCCCAATTAGGTATTTTAGTGTGATGGGGAAATACCCCAAAGATTTTTCTTGTTATGTTGAAAAAGGCTAAAAAACTTCATTATTACTAAATCATTCTTTGTTATCCTCATCTCAAGGGATATAATCCTTGCAGAATTCTGCCTTGTAAATTTGTAACTTGCTTAACAATAATGAGGAACAAGTCTCAAAACAAACAAAAGCAGGAACTTTCTACCAGTAATCATGTCTAGGATGACTGCTTTAACAGCTTTAACATGGCAACGTAAAAATACTTTTTTTTTCTTTTATGTAGAAGATTTAATAATCTGGCACATCAGATAGAGTATGCTGCCAGTTCCTTGGAATAAATGTAGCGTCAGCCTTAAAAAAATCGCAGAGATGATTCATCCACACCCTTGAGTAAAGTTGTCTATCACTGACTGCCTTTTTTCTCTTGCCCTGGTAACTGGAGAGACAACTAATCAGATTAAAGAGAGAATGATACAGTGGTACAAACCAAATACTTCTGTGAAAAGTTTTGTTTTTATGTAACTCACTTTTAAACCCTAAACCTTTCCTAAGCTTATAGTTCTGTACAGTTAAGCCAGATGTGACTACTGTAGTGTTAACACTAGCCTTTTACACAAGTCACTATTTAGAGGATCTATCTGTTCAATGACAATTATCCCTGGCTGATTACTATTATCTGACACTTGCATTGGTCCTGGCATCCCATGGGTGAGCAAGACAGGCATGTCCCTTGCCCTTATGTAGCTTATGGTTAATGTGTAACCTTTGCCAAGTCATGCAAGTTCTATGATATGGTTTCTTACTGTGTAAAATGAAGCAGTTGTTAACAGTTAACAGACATACAGGGAGGTGAAGAATATGGCAAGAGGTAACAATTTTAAATACACTGGTCAGAGAAGGCTTCATTGAGGAAGTGACATTTGGAGACAGGAATGAGATGGATATTTGGGGGAAGAAAATTCAAGTAAAGGCATCGGCAAATACAAAGTCTCTGAGGGGGAAGAGGGCTTTTTTGTTCAAGACAATAGCAGGCTGGAGAAGATGCAGAAAGTGGGAGAGTTATAGCAGATGGAGACAAAAAAGGGAACTGCTGGGGATCAAACCTTGTAAAGTCCTTCTAAGTGATATATGAGGACTTTGACTTTTATTCAAAGTTAGAAGGCTTTGAACAAAAGAATTATTTCATTTGTGTTTTACAATGGTCACAAGTGCCGTAGCGAGAATAGGCTGTGTAGAGAAGAGATTTTGTGGTTTTCTTTTTTGTTCTCTGTATTCTCTTCCTGAAAAATCTGTTTTCTGCCTAATCATATTTCTGTAAAGAACAATAGACTTGAACGTCTGCTGTTAAGTAACAAAGGTTGACCTAAACCACATAAGGTCAGATTAACTTTTAAAATATCCAAGATAATGTTAAGTGTATTAAATATGGTTCAGTATGTAATCAAAATATTTGATATTCTCTAGATACTAATCTCTTTTAATTTTTTTATTTTTTAGCCTTGGGGCTCTATTTTGCGGAATTGGAATTTCTTAGCTGTGACACATCCAGGTTACATGGCATTTCTCACATATGATGAAGTTAAAGCACGACTACAGAAATATAGCACCAAACCCGGAAGGTAAGACTTTTTAGCAGTAATATTATGTGATATATCCAAAGATGAAAAATTCTCCATGGTTTGTTCCTAAGTAAGTCAGCAATACCCGCTGATGGCATGCTTGGGAGGGGGCTAGAAAAGGTAAAAGACCAAAATGGTGCTTCTTAACATAATGTTTTAAATTGATACATTGTGCTTACTCTGAAACTTGGTATTCATAAAGTGAAAGGGGATATGGTCTCCTTTCTGTTTTCATGATATCCGTGTTTATGTGCAAAATTGAATGTATATATTTGAATACTTGAATACTGTGCTAAAGAACAAATAAATAGAACAGTCTTATGTTCATTACTTTAGGGTATTTTTAAGACATTCATTTAGGCTCTCTGATAAATATAAGTACATATACATGCACATGAACACATAAATATACATGTAAGTTTATGAACAAATACATGTATGTACATAAGCATATATAAACCTATTGTTATAATCAAAACCAATTTCGTGTCCTTGAAAACTTTTTTCATAATGCCTCGTGTTTTATTATAGCCTCAGAATTTATATTTTATTTTCCACATGATGAAACTAAATGAGACTTGGAGAGGTTGGTCAGCCCCTGTGGCTTTGGCCAAGAAATTACACCTTATTAATGGCAAATCTGGATCCAGAAAATCTGTCTCTTCCATGGTTCAGTGCATTTTCCCATGTATTTCATCTAAAAATGCATTAGGCCCATAGTAGGCATTTGTGCTATGGCAGGCAGTATGCTGAGTACGGCAGTAGGGATATTAGAGACCTGCTTGTCAGAGTCCTCACATTTCAGATGCTATTCTGGTATTCATTAGTGCTCTGATTTTCATATAGAGAACATTCCATTTTAGGGATGAATTTGGTGCTGGTTTTTAAGACTGCCTTTTTTTTCTAGTATCATTTTTATTTGGTTTATGGTGTATATAATGTTTGTACTTTATAACATTTTTGTTTTGTTTTGTTTTGCTTTGTTTTTGAGATGGAGTCTTGCTCTGTCACCAGGCTGGAGTGCAATGGCACAATCTCTGTTCACTGCAACCTTCGACTCCCTGGTTCGAGCAATTCTCCTGCCTTAACCTCCCAAGTAGCTGGGATTACAGGTGTGTGCCACCACGCCCAGCTATTTTTTGTATTTTTAGTAGAGATGGGGTTTCACCATGTTGGTCAGGATGGTCTTGATCTCCTGACCTCGTGATCTGCCCACCTTGGTCTCCCAAAGTGCTGGGATTACAGGCGTGAGCCACCATGCCTGGCCAAAACAGTTTTTTTTTTAAGTGCAAGCCAATAGTGCTGATTTTTTCTTCTCTGCCATTATGAAAATTTCCATATTTTTGTCTTTTTAAGAATTTATATAGTGTATTTGAAAAAGGAGCTAGTGAATACAAAAACAGTTTGGCTTCCACTGAAATCTTCTATTTAGACTAAGGAGAGTTAGTTCTCATTGTAACCATGAGAGAAGGTCAGTTATTTTGCATATTGACAGTGGTTTAGATGAATGATTTTCTTTCATTCAAGAATCTCTCATGACCAGATTTTTCCATAGTTTTTACTCTCTTGAATGACATCATATAAAGTATCTTTCTTGCTCTTGGCGTATGATGTGAAAAATGTGTTGTGGTTGGAATTATGCAGTCATACAAAATTTAACATGTGAGTTATTTGATAAATTTTCTTGTCCAATCATAGAAATAATGAGGGAACTGAGGCCTTTATTTTTGGTTTTGTTTTCTTGTTCAGTATCATGGAGAACATGAATTACAATATTGAGAACAACAGCCAGGTCTCATTACTATTTGGAAAAGTTCTCTTAGTAAAAAACTACTGCCCTCTGATAAGAATATCATAAGACCCACCAGTAAACTTATCTTCAAATGTGTACAATATATACATTTTATACAGCTTTTTTGTATATCAGTCATACCTTAAAAAACTAGAATAATGTCCTCTGAGAAAAAAATCCTTCTTTCCTTCCTAACTTGCCATGTAATGATTTTTTCTACTAAATTTTAGGTAGCTAATGATGAAATAAATAATATATAACAAATTATAATGTGTAAAGTATGACATGGGTACTAAAGATGTGTTTAGGAAAACACCCTTAATGAATAAAAAAAAAACTGTAACAAATATTTGCTTTGGAGAATATCTGTGTTTAACATTTTTTTTTTTTTTATCTTGGAAAGTATTTCATGTCTTTGACTTCATAGTATAGAAAACAATTGGATTTACTTCAAGGACATTTTGGCTCCTTAGGTTGTGCTTTATTATTGGGGATCCATCTGACAAAATATGAGTTATGGGGTGAAGGTAGTAACATTTGGAAATCTAAGTGAAGTATTCATTAGGTGACAAGAGTGGCATTGAACCCTAAACCACCTCGTCAACATGAAAGATACTTCATTTTATATGCATATATATATTTTTTTTTAATTTTTTTTTTTTTTTGAGACAGAGTCTCACTGTGTTCACCCAGCAGGAGTGCAGTGGTACTATCTGGGCTCACTGTAAGCTCCACCTCCTGGGTTCAAACGATTCTCATGCCTCAGCCTCCTGAGTAGCTGGGACTACAGGCATGTACCATCATGCCTTGCCAATTTTTTTGTATTTTTAGTGGAGACGGGTTTTCGCCATGTTGGCCATGGTGGCCTCGAACTCCTGGCCTCAAATGATCCACCTTGCTCAGTCTCCCAACGTGCTGGGATTACAGGTGTGAGCCACCACTCCTGGCCCCAATTTGATTAAATGAAGCATGTTGTTTAAGAGAGCAAGGTGCTAAAAATAAGCCAAAAATTCACTTGAGGTTGGGAAGGGGTAGCCACCAGCCAAAGGGTCAGCAGCAAATTAAATGGAATAGGAAAAAGGTGCATGAGAGGAAGAAATTGTTCTAAAATGCCCTTGGCTCTTACCAGATTGCTGGTATTACTATCTCTTATATACATGAATTGCTTGAACCTTCTGTATAATAATGAGTTTTAGAAACACCATCCCAAAACAATGTTTAGAGCAACAGAGAAGGACATGAATTAAAAATGTGAGCAATTTCACAAGTATGTATTTCAGTATCTACTAGATTCTTACTATATGAATAAATTTGGAATTACATTTAAAATTACTAGCAATGCAGATGTGTAATTATTTTCTTCATGTTAATACACTGTAAACTTTGCTGAGATTCATAGTACACAGATTTTTAAGATTTTAACTTTTGACTTAATTTGAAGGAATTTTATCATTAATTTTTTTATGTAACATTTTAATAATGTCCTTCTGAATTATAATTTATAGTGACTTTCTATTATTTTTGGCACTTCTCATAATATCATAGCCGTAGGTCTCTGTGGCATTATTTTATCTGATTTTGATTAAGAATGCCAATAGTTGACAGATTGATATCCTATTTTCAGTTTCTCTAGGGATATATGTTTTTAGACTTTTTTGAAAAGTTCTTTCCAAAGATTCTATCACCAATATAAAGTTTTTAATATTTAAAAATCACTTCTTTTTTTAAATTCTAGTTTGTCCAAAGATGAAATTACACTCTACTACTAAATATACAAGTTAATTAAATCCAGTGACTGCAGCCATTATGTATGTTAAAGTATATCTTTCAAGTTACATTTATAGTGCTTGGTCTATCAATGACTAAAGTATATTTTGACATACTTGTGTCTGCCACATACATACAGCAGCTCGAATATTAAAATATAGCCAACAGATTTAAGTTGGTTTGTTTTTGATCTGCTTAATGGGTAATAAAATCCAGAAGGATATCCTGATAGAAAGATTGAATGCAGTACACTCAAATAAAGAGAAATGATCTAAAATGAAATAAGTACATAGATAGCTAAATGAATACATAAATGATAATGATGGATTTAAAGCCAAGTTGCTGCCTCCTTTTGTTGGATATTAGTTTCAAGGGACTTGATTTGATTTATATTTTTGAACTATCTTAACTTCCCCTTGTAAGATACTGAATTTGACATGGTTAGATGGCAGGCATGAAATTACCTAGTTTGCACTTTTGAGCTTTAGGGATGAATGGCAGGAATACCTGAAAGAAAAGTTACTATTTTTTTAACAGTTGGCCGGGTGCGGTGGCTCACGCCTGTAATCCCAGCACTTTGGGATGCCGAGGCGGGTGGATCATGAGGTCAGGATATCGAGACCATCCTGGCTAACGTGGTCTCTATTAAAAATACAAAAAATTGGCCAGGCGCGGTGGCTCATGCCTGTAATCCCAGCACTTTGGGAGGCCAAGGCGGGCAGATCACCAGGTCAGGAGATCGAGACCATCCTGGCTAACACGGTGAACCCCATCTCTACTAAAAATACAAAAAAATTAGCTGGGTGTGGTGGCGGGCACCTGTGGTCCCAGCTACTCGGGAGGCTGAAGCAGGAGAATAGCGTGAACCTGGGAGGCGGAGCTTGCAGTGAGCCGTGATTGCGCCACTGCACTCCAGCATGGGCGACAGAGCAAGACTCTGTCTCAAAAACAAAACAAGCAACAACAACAACAAAATAACAACAACAACAAAAATACAAAAAATTAGCTGGGCGTCGTGGCACACGCCTGTAGTCCCAGCTACTCAGGAGGCTGAGGCAGGAGAATCGCTTGAACCTGGGAGGCGGAGGTTGCAGTGAGCCGAGATGGCGCCACTGCACTACAGCCTGGGTGATAGAGTGAGACTGCGTCTCAAAAAAAACAAACAAACTAATTTTAATGTCTAAATTACAAAGGAATATATCGAATTCTAAGCCTGGGTGACAGAGTAAGACTCCGTCTCAAAAAAAAAAAAAAAAAAAAAACCCTAATTTTTATGTCTAAATTACAAAGGAATATATTGAGTTCTACAGTAGAAACTGGCTCAGTTTTTGTCTGAGGTAGGCAAATTAAATTTAAATTTTTACTTATTTATTTTATTTTTACATTCCAAGAGTGATTTATTTTGTAGCTATTCCATGCCATCAGCATTTCCATACACCGCATCCTGATGATGATGGTAAAAAAATCCCTAGTTTACAATCTTGTTTATTTTCTTATATATGTATCTGGAAGTATTTAAATAAAAAGAAATGATCAGTGTTTCTCTTGTAAATTGATAAATGGAGAAGTACATTGTTGCTAAAAATAAGTTAGAAGACAGAATATGAGGAGTATTCAGGAATTCTAAATGATTGTTTATTCTTTTGCTTGGAAGAAACCTAACAAATTGTTTAGTATTGATTTATATTCTGAATGTAATTAGATGTAATTTTCTTATGTTTTGCAGCTATATTTTCCGGTTAAGTTGCACTCGATTGGGACAGTGGGCCATTGGCTATGTGACTGGGGATGGGAATATCTTACAGACCATACCTCATAACAAGCCCTTATTTCAAGCCCTGATTGATGGCAGCAGGGAAGGATTGTAAGTATGAGAAATGGAAGTTGGAGTGCTTATGATTCATGAATTTGAAAAATAAAGATTGCTTTGTGATGGCGAAAATGGATAGCAAGGCTGCTTTTTATGTTAAGACTGAGAAATAATGGATGTTCCTTAGTTTTTTGTTCATCTTTTTATATAATCATTTTAAGGTAACCTAATTATTTGAAACTATGTTATAGCAAATACATTTCAACTTCAAATTACAACATGAATTTTTATCTTTCATATGATAAAAACTTGGGACTTAAAGGTAGTTTTAAAATGGATGTAAAACTGTTTATATATTAAGAGAAAATTATTTAGAATAATTGACTTCTGTTTCTTCATATAACCCTTAGAATACTAGTTTCACTTTTTCTTTCTTTTTTTTTTTTGAGATGGAGTCTAACTCTGTTGCCAGGCTGGAGTGCAGTGGCACAATCTCTGCTCACTGCAACCTCCGCCTCCTGGGTTCAAGGGATTCCCCTGCCTCAGCCTCCCAAGTGGCTGGGACTACAGGCGTGCGCCACCATGCCCTGCTAGTTTTTTGTATTTTAGTAGAGACGGGGTTT
Organism: Homo sapiens; assembly: GCF_000001405.40. Classification (NCBI taxonomy): domain Eukaryota; kingdom Metazoa; phylum Chordata; class Mammalia; order Primates; family Hominidae; genus Homo; species Homo sapiens. The sequence goes on along the minus strand of NC_000003.12, from coordinate 105,739,924 downwards.
CACCGTGTTAGCCAGGATGGCCTCAATTTCCTGACCTCATGATCCACCCGCCTCGGCCTCCCAAAGTGCTGGGATTACAGGCATGAGCCACTGTGCCCAGCCAGTTTCACTTTTTTTATTTTGATTGTTAGTGCCAGATTTTCTTTTCTCTTTCTTATCTGTTTCTCCCTCCACCCCTTTTCTTTTCTCTCTGTAGATCTTTCCTTTTTCACACTAATAATAACTCCATATTCAGGACTATATGTTAATAGCTAAGTTTAGTTTATCTCAAGCTATTCCTTTTTAAAATTTAAAAATAAGTTAAGTTTCCCTTTGTTTTTTAGATTAATAATGAATTCTCCCCCACTCACTCCACACACAAAGTATGGACAATCTGTTGGGCCCCTTCATAGTAAATATGTCTGATTCTTCTTATTTGTTTTATTCACATGCCTTTCCCTTTGTCCTCTCCTTGTATTCTCAGTGCACTTGATCATGCTGCTTTTTCTTCCCCTCTGCCTTGCTGGATAACTTAGAGATGCTCGTGATCAAACTCGCTGCAGTATGAATTCTGGTAGAAACCTAGAAGGAAAAAGTCCACCAGAGTTAACAAAGAGCAAATGATTTGAGTTTTACCTTTATCAAAGTAATTGCAAAAAAGAAAGAAAGAAAAGAAAAAAAGTGATGAGATTTATACAAAGAAAAATTAGGAATTTCTAAAAACCTATGAGCTTTTGGGTGGGAGTGGTGGCTTACGCCTGTAATCCCAGCATTTTGGGAGGCCAAGGCAGGAGGATCACTTGAGCCCAGGAGTTCGAGGTCAGGCTGGGCAACATGGCAAAACCCTAGCTCTACAAAAAATGCAAAAAAATTAGCTGGGCATGGTGGCGCGTGACGGTAGTCCTCGCTACTCTGGAGGCTAAGATGGGTTAATCACCTGAGCCTGGGAAGTTGAGGCTACAGTGACAACATCGTGCCACTGCACTCCAGCCTGTGCATCAGAGTGAGACCTTATCTGAAAAAATAATAATAATACCAACACACACAAAACCTTTCAATAAATTAATTACATAGTAATTGTATGGCAAGTTATGGTACCAAATGTGTATTTCTCTTTCTTTTTCCTTCTAATTTTCATAAATTTGCTAGTGTCGGTTATTTATACCTTTCTTCTAATGCATCAAAGCTTTGTGTATAGATTTTGATTTACCATGATTACAGATTTTTTTTAAGAAAATATACTTTAAAGTTTGAATTTATAAGTAGAACCTATCAACAACCTCCTGATAGGTTAAAAAGAACCTTTAACCTTTCCTATGGTACCCTAATCATGATTTTTGTAATCTTTAATTTCTGAATTCTTGCTAGAATTTCTTCATATTATTTGAAATGTGATACATAAAATTTTATATAATATTTTTTTAAATGGCCAATTTTTAGGGTATATAAAAAAGTTGCTTATTCTTCTTTGGATTATCATTCCTCATTTAATGTTTGTCAAATTTTGTAACACACCCATAAGGACATTCTAAATTTGTATCATACTCAGATGTAGTAAACTCCTTTTGCTAAATCATAAAAAAATCATCTCACTGATTTGTCCCTTACTATGTAAGAATTATCTGTCCTTTAAGTTCATTTTTCTGGTTTTCCTGGGTAAATTCTAACACTTAACATGTTTGTAGACTCCTCATTCGAGGATAAATATTTTTTGTTATTTTAAAGAATAGATTTGTTATAGTTTTACCCTTTAAAATATACATACTACAGTACTATATTCTTATTGTTTTATTTAAGAAATTTAGTATAGAAAGATGTTAAACAGAACTAACCATAATTTAATAAACTGATGAAATACAGCAGTGACATTACCACTTTTTTCAATTAAAAATAAGTATTTACCAACACAGTAAATTTTATTTTTTAATGAATTTTTCAATAACAAGTACAACTTCTGATTTAACACAGCAAGAATGCATTATTACTACAACTTTTAGTTCAGATTTCAGTTTTCCCTGATAATAGAACCTTGTATCTATAGACCATTTTGTGTTTGTAGTGTTAAGTCAATGAAACATGGAAACGTAACATTTTCTAATTTTTTAAAATGTGTATGTGCCTGTGTGTCTGTGTGTTTGCATATGTGCACATGTGTTTGTGTTAGGTGAGGGGAAGATGGGAGAAGAGATATGGAAACTGTAGAAACAGGAATACCACAGAAGTGTTTGAGTAACTTACAAGAAAACTGTGGCCTTTAATTATATTTTTCTTTCCATGTGGTATTAGGCATGGTGTAAAATGATACCATTATTACCTGTGCCTCAGATGAAGGATGTAATAGTTGCAAATAGGTATATCTTCAAAGTGTTTTGGAATACAACATGATTGACCAGTGAAATAAATTCTTAACTTATATAAGAGACATATATTAAAGGTATTTCATTGAAAATGGTTGCTTAGTGGGTTAGGCTATATTCATTATGTATTTCTTATATGAAAATTCTACATTTTAAGTGTCCTAAAAACAACATAGTAATTTGGAAACATTGAAGTAATATGTTATTGATATGTTACATGAAAAGGAAACATCCAAATGTATGTTTGAATATAGAAAAATTTGATTAAATATCCTTAAATGCAATTAAAACTTGTATATTTAAGGTAATAAAGTTTCTGTTTAAATTCAGTTATCTTTATCCTGATGGGAGGAGTTATAATCCTGATTTAACTGGATTATGTGAACCTACACCTCATGACCATATAAAAGTTACACAGGTAAGGATAATTGCTAGAAAAGTATAATTAAATAAGTATCCATAATGCCCTTGAAATAAATAAGACTCTCTTAGTGTAGTTAAAATCATGCACAGGTATTTAATACAAAATATACTTAAGGAATTCTAAGAGTGTTTAAGGAGAAATTATATTACTTTCTTAGATTTTTTGATACAAATTTATGCTGTTAAAATTCTTGCTTTCCATATAGTATTGGCATTTATATGGGGGAAATAAATAAATCCATAAGCAAGTAGGTGGATGTAAGGAGAGAGCCATAGTTTAGAAAGCTACCAAAAAAAGATTAGAATAATTATATGCCTTAGATTTTAGAGTCAAATGGGTAATTGAAGCCTGTTGAAGATAACAATTATGTTTTTCTAAATCCATTGCTGGCAGCCTCATAGCTTATGAATAGGAATGTAAGTTGGTAAAACCTTTCTTGAGAGTGATATTCAGTGATTATAAAAATCTAAGTGAAAATATCTTTTCACTTTAAATTCTATATATGTAATAGATCCCATATATATCACTTACACATGCACACAAAAATCTATACAACAGGTATTTACTGTAATATTTTTTGTAAAAGCGAAAAATTACAAAATACTAAGAACTTTAGTAATAGATTAAATAAAATAGACTACTGTTCTCATACTGTATTGTGTGAAGTCATGAACAGGAGGGAGGTAGCTCTACATACTCACATGGGAACTTCTGCATCTTGTACTGTAAAATAATTCCATTTATGTAAAGTACATGTAGGTAACATTTCATTTGGTCAAGTTGCATTATGTACGTTCAACTTCTGTAAGGAAATAATTAATTAATTGCTGTATATGAACATGTGAGTATAGTTTTTAAAAGATCAAAAAAACACCAAACTGGTAAGAAGATTTAACTGAGGAGGTGAAAAGGGATTGAGCAGTGAGGGAGGGGATGAAGGGAGAACTTGAATATTTTATTTTATATTCAGTCTAGTTTTAAAATATTTTATATTTGAGATATGTTCACGCCTTGTGTAATAAGTAATAAAAATCTAAGGGAAAAAACAAGAGAAGAATTACAGCTTTTTTTAAGACAGTAGATAATAATTTACCTTATAATTCTCCAGATTTCCTTTCCCATGGTCTTTACATTATTATGTGAGACATACACATTGACATTTATATGTACATATTGTACGTGTAAATTTAATAAATGATTGCCTTGTTTTTCTTTTTTTGAGACAGAGTCTTGCTTTGTCGCCCAGGCTGGAGTGCAGTGACGCGATCTCGGCTCACTACAACCTCTGCCCTCTGGGTTCGAGCTGTTCTCTTGCCTCAGCCTCCCGAGTAGCTGGCATTACAGGTGCCTGCCACCACTTCCGGCTAATTTTTGTATTTTTAGTAGAGATGGGGTTTCTCCATGTTGGTCAGGATCAAACTCCTGACCTCAGGTGATCCACCCGCCTCGCCCTCCCAAAGTGCTGGGATTACAGGCGTGAGCCACCATGCCCGGCCATGATTGCCATTTTAAATTTAATATATGATTGCCATTTTAAAAGTTATGTGGTGATCCTGTATTTTCAAATATGTGTGAAAGGATACTTAGGAAAGACAGTTCCTCTTTATAAAGCCATTAAAAAAATAAATCTTTGGAAGTAATAACATCCCCTTAAATTACTCATAAATACTCTTACTGTTTAGGTTGCATTGAGATCTGCATCTTTGATTTTAGCTTAATGTAATTTTTTTTATAATTGCATATTTTTCCTTTGGACAGTCATAACCAGTATCAATACTTATCTATTATTTCAGGGACATCAGCAATTTATAACTTACTTTGAATTACTTTAGTTTTATTTCTTCTCCATTTTTATGCATTCTCTCGTCTCTTTCCTTAAGTTCCCCACAAAATTTTTGTATATTCACACATCATAATAGACACAGTTTATGTGTACATGTGTGTACCTGCATGTACATGCATATGTATCCATGTATGTTTATGTATATGTATATTTTTCTCACCAGGATTATAATATATTTTAGTAGTCTGTGGACTAAATATTATTATTTATTTATCCTACTCCGTGCCAGGCACATTGTAGTCACTTACTGAACTAAAAGTTGCTTTATTTACCCAAATATTGGTTTCATAATTCCTTTTCTTTGTATTCCTAACATCTTTTTTCATTATTTACCAATTTATTTGTATTTTTTCAAATTTACCAATTTATTTGTATTTTTGTCACGAAGATCTTTTCAGTATTTGAATTTTGAAAATTTTACTGTGTCAAATGTTTTAAGCTAAAAACCCAATCAATCAAGAACATTGCAGTTTTAATAAAATGGTTTTTGGTTACTGAAGTGATTTGTTTTCTTGACAGTGTTAGGGAAAGCGTATGCACTTTTTAGTCAGAGGCTTAATTTAGAGTTTGAAGCAAACAAGTTAAACTGATTAAGCCCCAGGCCTAACTTTTGTTAAGTTCAATATATCTTCTTGTGCTTTGGAGATGAAGTGAAATAGTAAGTGTGGACCACAGTGCCTGGCATGCGGGAAGTGCTTGGTAAATGTTTGTCACTTTTCTTGCATTCAGGGATTTCTAAAGATATTGAAACAGTAAAATTTAATGTTTAGCCAAGTATCATTTTTTTTTCAATTTGACAGTTAAATTATATGAGCATGTGGCATTTATAAAAAAGATAAAGTCATTTTATATTCCTATTTTAAAACCATAGATTTTGTCTTTTGAGTCACCATGACTATTGAAGCAAGTCCCTTCCTAAAGGAACAGTAAAGGAACCTTAAATAATATGAATCATTAAGAAGCATGTAAGATAGATGATAAAAGTTCAAACCTTTTTAAAATGAATTTTGTAGACCAAATTGTGATTATCAATTCAAAACATGTCTCAAATGGTAACAAAATTCTGACAAGGTCAATTGTGAGATATTGACTGTGCGTCATTTTATTTGGGAAAATTTGATACTAACAATTTGTGCTGGAAATACATTAACATTACTTTCTCCCTCCTCCCCAAATTCCAGGAACAATATGAATTATATTGTGAAATGGGCTCCACTTTTCAGCTCTGTAAGATTTGTGCAGAGAATGACAAAGATGTCAAGATTGAGCCTTGTGGGCATTTGATGTGCACCTCTTGCCTTACGGCATGGCAGGTATAATCATTAGCAACATGGATGTCTTTCTTATATGTCCTACTAATATTTCTCTTTTCAGTTTTCTTAATGGTTTAGGAAGTAATGCTGGTAAGTGCTTTGTTTGAAATGATTGTGTAAAGATTTTATATGTTTGAGTTGCTATATATAATTTGATTTTTAACTATCTTATATTTTATCTTTAAATGTATAAATTTTATTATATTAGTCATCAGTAGTTCTACTTCTGTAGTACCATGGATTTCAGTATGTTCACTTATAGGTATTACCAACTAGACATTTTTATGCCATTTATTGATAGGTCAGAATCTGTTTGTAGTAGGTCAGTTTCTGAAGCCAAGTAAACCATAGTAGATAAATCTTATTTTGATATTTTCAAGCAAACTTCTTTACTCCTGAGGAGGCATGGTTCCTGTCTCACATATGCTCCGTAGTGCTGAAATTGGAGAATCAGACAGGAAGTATCTCTCAAACACTTATAGTTCCCACAGAAACAGGCATTAAAGTTCCCTATTTACTGAAGCATAATCTCAGGCAAATTGCCTTCCCATCTGCCGCAGGCATTCAATAAATATAAATTGATTTGAAGTTTTATAGGAAGGTCTGGAGAATAACTGGTTTTCCCAAGGACTTTCCTTTTTTTTTTTTTTTTGAGACAGAGTCTTGCTCTGTCGCCCAGGCTGGAGTGCAGTGGCACGATCTCGGCACACAGCAAGCTCCGCCTCCTGGGTTCACGCCATTCTCCTGCCTCAGCCTCCCGAGTAGCTGGGTCTACAGGTGCCCGCCACCGTGCCCAGCTAATTTTTTGTATTTTTAGTAGAGACGGGGTTTCACCATGTTAGCCAGGATGGTCTCGATCTCCTGACCTTGTGATCCACCTGCCACGGCCTCCCAAAGTGCTGGGATTACAGGTGTGAGCCCAAGGGCTTTCTTATATTTCTTCATCTGTAACAAAGATTGGGGATTTTTAAAATGGATCTTTGGACAGATTTCCAGTTTTGAGTATTTGGAGGAGTCATGGAATATTTTGATCAAGCCATTTTGAAACTGTTTGACATAGTTATATTGAAGTTAGAAGTATATTGATAGGGTTTAGAAAGCAAATAATTAAATTTTCTAGTCTTTAAAAAAGATTTTCGGTGAAGCATAAAGTTGACATTCCTACCCTATTTCTAAGCCCTCTCAGTCCTTGATTTTCTTTGTCCAACCCTGCATCTCTGCATGAGTTGAGGAAGGATGGACATTGAGGCTCATGGAAGGGGGCTGACAGACTCAGAGGGGCATTGATGCCTGCCGAGCTCCTTACTTAGTAATAAAATATAATGATTTTCCCATTTTCATAGTCATAAAAGGGCCTGCTTCTTCTTTTGTGAATATTTTTTTAATGGATGAGGAAAAGAGGAAGAATTAGGAAATGAATTACAGTTGATTTATATTTTCAAAGTCCTTTCTGAATGCCCAGAGATCTTTGCTACCTCAGTAACGTTGTTCAAAATCCCTATACTTCTCTTCTTCATATGCATTTGGCTTATATTTTGTTTTACGTTTTTCTTTATATCCTCTCCCTTATTTCCTTTTATCCCTTCATGATGTTGGCGAAATTTGCATATTACAGGGAGATGTTGAAGGAGATCATTCTCAACATAGATACTTGATTCCTATTTAAATTACATTAACAGTAATAGTTCTGCAAACTTAGCAGTGCCTTTTAAACTACATTCAATAAATGTAGATATGTTGGTAGAAGACAGAATTGTTTGCAAGTTTATTTCAAATGTGTCAGTAGGAGGTATTATAGAGATATTGACTCAGTGATAGATTGTCTGTAATTGGACTACTTAGGATTGGTGTACCTGATAATCATTCAGTGTTTCAGGATACGTGTTAAACTAACAAAGAAAACAAATTGTATTTGTCACCCTTCTTTGCCTTCAGGGTGGTAGTGTGGTTTTTACAAGTACAAAGAAACTAAAAGCCTTGCATTTCTCCCTGAAGAAAATCAGAATAATAGGCTGATACAAATTCCTAACACTCTGCCTCCATGCAGGGCTTGTGTATTTCAGCCATTTTTCTTGGGGCTCCAGTCTTAGAGCATACACATGCATACATGTTGCAAGACTTCACATCTGTAACTCAATACTGTGCTTAGTATTTGGAGGTTAAGTTGGTTAAAAGTCAGAAGCTGCTATGAGTTTGACAGAAACATTTGTTTAGTAAAATGTTTTGTTCAAAGCATCATACAAAATAGTTTACTGGCCAGGCATGGCGGCTCACACCTCTTAAATCCCAGTACTTTGGGAGGCTGAGACAGGAAGATCCCCTGAGCCCAGGAGTTCGAGAACAGCCTGGACAACATAAGGAGACCCCGTCTCTATAAAGTAATAATAATAATAATAAAATAGTTGTTTGCCTTGCAGCCCAGGGTGAGTAGAAAAGTATGGCTGAATATAAAGCAACAAATATTTATTTTACTTTCTATATACTTCTTAAAAGAAAGTTTATTCTTAGTAAATAAATACTACCTTTACTTAAGTCCTAACTTCACATTGTCAGTACATTCTTGGAAACTGCAACTTTGAGCAAAGTGACATACTGTATGCTGTAGGAACCTTAACTCTTGTTTCTATCAATTAGCCTAGGGTAAAATGGATTTCATTATACAGTAAGTTGTTTCACTTAAAGTCTCAATTTCCAAGAACTAATTAACAATATTAATTGAGGACTTACTGTATTTATTTGTTAGGTTTGTGAACTATTTGCAGTAGGTTCATTATGTGCAAAAGGCATAGGAACATTTCCCAGTTGTCTTTCTGTATTACTAATGCTGTGTAATCACCACAACATTTTACATCACCACAACATGTCTATGTGTTACTGTGCATTCTCCAAATTGGTGTAGTTCCTCTTGCTTGTTGCTTATCAATTCCTTGAATTATTTCATGATTTTTTATATTGGCCTAATGACCTTATATGAAGATATGTTCAGTAATGTTAGTAAGTTGTTAACATTTACTATTTCTCTTTTTCATTCTCAGCTACTTCTCAGTTTTACTTTTATAAATTGAGGAAGTACATAATTGTCAAGCTCTGAAAATTGTGTTTAGCTAAAATTTTAAAAGTTATGTGAGAGTAATAGTTTACTAAGTAAAGTAGAAACAAAAATGACAAATTCAAAACTATTCAGAAGGTTGAAATAATAAATTACATTTATGTTACTAGACAGTAATGTTATTGTCTTAATCTGATCATTGAATTTTGCACCTAAATTAATGAAAAATATGCAAACCTTTATTTTCAGTATTGTTTTTGAATTCTCCTCACACAAAGCAGCTCATCATTAATAAGCATCCTCCTGATACATTTTGTATATGTTTCTGTAAGCTCTTACCTCATTATGTTCATATTGTAAATATTTCCATATTTATGTATTTTCTTTCTAGAATGTGGATTACTTTACCTATTTTAGAATCTCTCTGCTAGCATGTTATCTGCACATTGGTCATTACGCAGTAAATACTTATAGATTGCATGCTAGGTAATGTAAAAGAAAAGGAAGTCTAAAAGTACATTAAATAAAAAGACAGTATTGTAGGTTGTGAAAAGCTCTTACAATACTTTTCTGAGAATTATTTATGATCTTTTCAAAGACCTTTTATCATACTTAGTATCTGAGAACGAATCCTAGAATATCTAAGGCTTAGTTCCCTTTGTTCCATTCACTAGCTATTGTGTGATTTCCTTAACATTTTACATTGTGATTTTTTTCCACCCATTCTTGAACCATGTTATTTTACGTTTATTGTATGCAGTACTACCAGCACTAACACAGAAGCAGTAAGACTGCATTTTTATCGCTGTTTTACACCAAAAAAAAAATATGCACAGTAATCCCCGGTTCATGTTTTCTCTCCCCCTAAAGAAAATTATTCTTAGGTCAATAATTCTAAATTGATATTTCACAGTCTCTGTATCTCAGTGGGATCTTACTGGTCAAAGGAAGTTTCAACTTTTGAACATTTCTACTTTTGGATAATCTAAATATTTTTACATTTAGATACAGTCTTCACGTAGTGCTTCCTGCCAACTAGCGTATCTGTTTTGGCAGCTTTTGTATTATTGCATGAACAGGAATGTTTGTTGATCATTAAAATATGTTATTGCAAAATGCCTCTGGTATTTAATAAAAATAAAAGTCCTATAAAGTTAATCTAGTTAAAGCACAGTTGTAAAACATTAGATATGCTGAAGGTCTCGTATCTGTAATCTCACCTAGCTGTGCTCACTTGACTTAACCTAATTGATGATAAATATGTCAGTAAGAAGAACAAAATTATAGCACACTTCATAGTTCCACAAAATATTGCCAAAAGTGGTATCTAAGCTTGTACATATATAGAGAAATGTTCTCAAGGTATTAGGTGTCTGGACTTAGATTAAAATAACTTACGTCTCTCTTGTTCAATTTTTTCCTCATTCAAAAATGGTACCTTAAAGACATTGTTTTTGTTTTATATGATTAAATTTGCAAGCTTAACTGTGCACAGGAAGAATTTGTTATTTTGCTTCTTCCTCTTACTGGTTTGGTAGAAGCAAACCAAGATGGTTTCAACTATCATTTTCCATTTATTTATTTATTTAGGAAACATTCTTTGAGCAGCTGCAATATCCCATGTTCTGTAGTATGCTCTGAACTGAAAAGAACTCTGAGACACAATCCTTAGCTCCAAGAAGTTAAAGTTAAAATTAAACCTGAAATTTCTATTAAGGGGCATGGTGTTAATAATTACTTAAAATGAGTATCCTGTTATCCTTCAAATTTAATTATGGCTGCTAGACATTTTTTCTTACTTTCTACTACGTTGGTTGGGCATGCTGATATGAACATGATTTTAAAGGCTGCGTGTCTGCCAAGAAGCTATGATAAATCAGTTAGAATCCAATAGGAAATATTAAACCCTGACCATAAATCATACTCTGCTCAGCAGTGTGCATTTTTAGCAAGTCATTCTTCACCAACTTTTCCTTCCATCTGATGCCCTACTTTGGTTTAATTGAAATTCATTAGAGACTTAAATTTTATGTAATTAACAGAAAACTTAAGAAATGCGCAGTAGCTGTGTCAGTAGTTATAGGCTGCAAGTGGTTACTCTTTAATTGCTGTCATAATGGCCCATTAGTCATGCCTCTGAAGAGGTGTCAGATGCTTTTTTCTCTTTCTGAAACATCTGTGTTATTTAATAAATTGAATAAGCAAGCAGAGTTTGCACAGAATACTAAGTAAGTTGAATAATCACCTTTCTAGAGACATTCTTTGAAGTAATACTACTCTGTGTGCAACATTTTTGTGCTACCCTTAGTAATAAAACTTGGAGAGTTGTCTTTCACATCCACGTGTTAATGGGACATTAACAAAACGTTTATCTTCTCAACCCTGAACTTCTGCACATCTTCCTTTGTGAGGTAGTATATTATGCAGCAGTGATTCTGCAGCATTACCATGTAAGGTTAAAAGTTAAGGAATTGTTTTCATTCTGTGCTTATTTCAGGAATCTAGAAAATGGCTTTTGATTTGTAGTTCTCCTTGAAGAGGTTCTTCACATCCCTTGTAAGTTGTATTTCTAGGTATTTTATTCTCTTTGTAGCAGTTGTGAATGGGAGTTCACTCATGATTTGGCTCTCTGTTTGTCTATTATTGGTGCATAGGAATGTTTGTTATTTTTGCACATAGATTTTATATCCTGAGACTTTGCTGAAGCTGCTTATCAGCTTTAGGAGATTTTGGGCTGAGACGACGGGGTTTTCTAAATATACATTCATGTCATCTGCAAACAGAGAGGACATAAAGAAAGAATCAATATCATGAAAATGGCCAAAATGCCCAAAGTAATTTATAGATTCAATCTATCCCCATCAAACTACCATTGACTTTCTTCACAGACTTAGAAAAAACTACTTTAAATTTCATATGGAACCAAAAAAGAGCTCGTATAACCAAGACAATCCTAAGCAAAAAGAAAAAAGCTGGAGGCATCACGCTACCTGACTTCAAACTATACTGCAAGGCTACAGTAACCAAAACAGCATGGTACTGGTACCAAAACAGATATCTAGACCAATGGAACAGAATAGATGCCTCAGAAATAATGCGACACATCTACAACCATCTGATCTTTGATAAACCTGACAACAACAAACAATGGGGAAAGGATTCCCTATTTAATAAACGGTGTTGGGAAAACTGGCTAGCCATACGCAGAAAACTGAAACTGGACCCCTTCCTTATATCTTATACAAAAATTAACTCAAGACGGATTAAAGACTTAAATGTAAGACATAAAACCGTAAAAACCCTAGAAGAAAACCTAGGCAATACCATTCAGTACATAGGCATGGGCAAAGACTTCATGACTAAAACACTAAAAGCAATGGCAACAAAAGCCAAAATAGACAAATGAGATCTAATTAAAGAGCTTCTGTACAGCAAAAGAAACTGTCGTCAGAGTGAACAGACAACCTACAGAATGAGGGAAAATTTTTACAGTTTATCCATCTGACAAAGGGCTAACATCCATAATCTACAAGGAACTTAAACAAATTTCCAAGAAAAAAAAACAAAGTCAAAAAGTGGGCGAAGCATATGAACAAACACTTCTCAAAAGAAGACATTTATGCAGCCAGCAAACATGAAAAAAAGCTCATCATCACTTGTCATTAGAGAAATGCAAATCAAAACCACAATGAGATAACCATCTCACGCCAGTTAGAATGGCGATCATTGAAAAGTCAGGAAACAACAGATGCTGGAGAGGATGTGGAGAAATAGGAGTGCTTTTACACTGTTGATGAGAGTGTAAATTAGTTCAACCATTGTGGAAGATGGTGTGGTGATTCCTCAAGGATCTAGAGTCAGAAATACCATTTGACCCAGCAATCCCATTACTGGGTATATACTCAAAGGATTATAAATCATTGTCCTAAAAAGACACATTCACATGTATGTTTATTGTAGCACTGTTCACAAGAGCAAAGACTTGGAACCAACCCAAATGTCCATCTATGATAGACTGGATAAAGAAAATGTGGCACATATACACCATGGAATACTATGCAGCCATAAAAAAGGATGAGTTCATGTCCTTTGCAGGGACATGGTTGAAGCTGGAAGCCATCATTCTCAGCAAACTAACACAAGAACAGAAAAGCCAACACTGCATGTTCTCACTCATAAGTGGAAGTTGAACATTGAGAACACATGGACCCAGGAGGGGAACATCACACACCAGGGTCTGTCAGCGGCTGGGGGGCAAGGGGAGGGATAGCTTTAGGAGACATACCTAATGTAGATGACTGGTTGATAGGTGCAGCTAACCACCATGGCATGTGTATACCTGTGTAACAAACCTGCATGTTCTGCACATGTATCCCAGAACTTTTAAAGTATAATAAAAGAAAAAAAAAAAAAAGGAAAATGGCTTTTGAGCTCCTGAATGGAACAAACCCCAAACTGTGTTCTTCATATCTTCCTTCCAAAATAAAAATGTATATCTTTGTCAGTTGGATATGCAGCTATGTTTTGAATTACTGCCAAGGACTTTAATTCAATTAAATGTAAAATTAATTTTCCTGTGGTTATTCTTCCTGTATATTGTTTGATATAATTTAAAAGAAAGATATCAGCGTATTCAAAATAGTAATTTACAAAAAAATCAATAAACTCTGATTTTAATGTGGAATATGATTAAGGAGATTTATAGATGTTCCATATGTAGAGAGTGTTGTTGGGAAAATGTATATAGTTGTCTGAGAGAGGTGAGAAACAAGTTCAAATGATCACTTTTAAGGCAATAAGAAATAATCTTTGGCCAGGCGCGGTTGCTCACACCTGTAATCCCAGCACTTTGAGAAGCCGAGGTGGGTGGATCACATGAGGTCAGCAGTTCAAGACCAGCCTAGCCAACATGGCGAACCCTGTTTCTACTAAAAATACCAAATAACTGGGCGTGGTGGCGGGAGCCTGTAATCCCAGCAGCTTGGGAGGCTGAGGCACAGGTGAATGGCCTGAACCCTAGAGGCAGAGGTTTCAGTGAGCTGAGATCACGGCACTGCACCCCAGCCTAGGTAACAGAGTGAGATTCTGTCTCAAAGAGTAAAAAAAAAAGATAAAATAAAATAAATGTTTTACTCTATCTTCCTTCAAAGGCGACCAGTCTTCACATTTCTAGCCTCAGTGAAATTTTATAACTTAGGTACTACAAATAGAAAATAATACTTGCCTTTACGAACGTTTTAAATTGGCACTTTTGTCTTTAACCACCCGTTGTGTCTTTTGTGTAAATGAGTGATTAAATGTTGGAGCTTCCCTTTCACGTTGGGAGTAATAAAGAAGCTGCGAGAGTTGTCCAAACACGTTATAGTAACATTATGAACTAGAGCGATGCACTAGAAAAGGAAAGGAACTGATGGATATGAGAAAATAAAATCTGGTAGAATAAGTGCTTGATTCTTAAGTCTAATGACTAAATTAGATGGATGCCCACTATATTGTAGAGTGTGTGGACCGTAACAGATACTGGCACTTTGGAAACATTTTCAGTTGACTCCAACATGGATCTTTTATAGGTGTTTTTAAAGTTGACACCATTTTTAAAAAGTGTTTAGAATGTAGACTCATTCTAAATGACCAGCTCATTCTAGACCAACTTCATGCATTAAAATTTTAAATTGGATTCAAGCAACAAATGTTTAAAACAAAAAGCTTTTACTATGTAAAAACGTGTCCTCAGAAATGGTATAATTATTCAGATACATTTTATGTCTTCCTGTTAAAGAGCTGAAACTTTTCAATTAGAGCGAACAGAATATTCATTGATTGTAGTAGTTTTTTTAATTTTGATATTTGCAATTTGAACAAAATAGTTTTAAATTTTTTACATTTATGAATGATCAGTAGTAGCAACCGGCTATTTTTCACCTTTATTTTAACCTTGACTATGAATCTGAGATTGAAAAACCACTACATGCTGATCCTATAGTGTAGTGTTGAAATGATTAGACTCTTGAAATAGATCCCCTTGTTGTGATTTCCTACTTAGTATTTTTTGCTATGTGACCTTCATCAAACTAGTAAACCCCTTTTTCTTGTTGGGGAACAATAATTGTACCTACCTTATAGGATTAAATGAATTAATATTTAGAGAGTGCTTACAACAGTGCCTGGAATTTTAGTTATTATTGTTTCTAATAAAGTGCTTAGGAGATATCTCATATTTCCAGTTATGATTAATCTATGCACATTGATAATTCTGCAGGTTTAAAATTGTATTCATTACATTACAAAATGGAATTCGTATAGAGATACGAGTTTTTTCAAAAGTTAAGATATGTTTCCTTAGTTTTCTTATTATATTTATTCTTGAGACTATTTTTATACTAATTATGCCAACTGGAATTTTTATAGCACTTTATAAAGCTTTAAACTAATTTATCTCATTTTATCTTTATGGTGTCTCTAAATGTGCATTATCTCATTATGCCCTGTAAATAAGATGCAATGAATTGCCCAGTGTCACACAGCTGTAATTGGGGAAGGTAGAAGTCCAGTCCAAGTATCCTAATTCAGAATGTCTGTGCTCCTTTTCTGATTTACTATGCAGGCTTTTATGGGCATCCCAAATCAAAACTAAAAGAGTCTAGATTCACCAATGTCTTTTTTCCTTGTCCATCATAATAAACCAGAACCAAAGATCTCTCCTGCTCTGGGGCATTTTGTCTAAGATTACTATTAACTATCCTTCCTTATTCTTTCATTCGTTCTTTCAGCCAGAAGTTATTGAGTTTCTGTGGGAGATACTGTGCTTTGAAAATTCTTGGTATGGATCCAACCTATTCTCAGTGCATTTATATACATATAATTTTTCCAGTTATAATTGCTATGTTTAAAAAAAGATTTGTGGCAACCTCATAGCTACATGAAATATAGCAAGGTAATATAAATTAGAAGTTATTGATAAAGGAAAAAATACATACATATGCATACACATACAGTAAAAATATAAAATGCACTCCAAAATGAGACTTAGGAGGCCCTATGTATATACCCTACAGCCCTTGATGTATATTACATATGTGGGAAGGCATAAAGTGATTGACCTTAAGTCAAAGTATGCCTCTAATAATCATGCTGAGAGCAAATAATTTATACTATATATAATGCTATCTTGAAAAACATTTAAAAGAAGGTATTTAAGATATAGTATGTCTGTCTTAGCAATATTTAAACAAAGTATGGAAGGTGATTGATACATGATGATGATGAGATGGTACTAACAATATTCATTTGGGTTTTTACATAGAGTATTTGTGGAGAATGTAGTATTATGAAGGTTTAAAATTTTTTTCTATTTGTTTGTCAATGTTAATTATCTGAGTTTACCTAAAGTTATATTTTAAGTAATGTCACTGACTTACAGTATTAATGGTTGAAATGTGAGTCTGAATTATTTTACTGTATTATGAGAAATGACAGAATTTAGTTTCAGCTGTGTATAGTATTCACTGATAACTTCTGTATCCTTTGGTTTAGAAGTATTTCTTATTCGAGGAAGTGAAACCTACTGAGTCATTTAGAATAGACGGAGTCCTCAGTACTTCCTCTTAACATTCACAGAATGGTGGAAACTAGAAAATGAGTTATTTATTGGTCTTTATTCTCCATTAATGCATATTATTTGATCTTGCATTAAGTATACATTGACAGAAACATTATTTTAATTATTGTATTGAAGACATTCTTCATGTGTATTTAATCAACCACCTGACAGAAACTAGGGCAGAGTAACCAAAGTAACATTTGAGACTTTATGGTTAGACGTCTAATTTGCATGTGACAGTAGTCCATTTATAAAGTGTGATGGATGAAGTCATATTAGAGTAAGTACCATTAGAGACACATTCATTGTGATCTGTGTTTTTGCAAATCAAAATTAATGGTCATTGCAGCTGTTTGTTGATCTGTTGAGTAATGTAAACTCTCAACAACAAAGCTGAAGAGAAGATGTATTTTGTGATATCTACTCTTATAACAGGCACTCTTAACAACATCAGTAATTTGTATAACATTAAATGTTCAAGTAGCATAGAGAAAAATCTAAATTCAGTTTTAGATGAACAGTTCTTTGTTTTTTCTTGTGCTATAAAGACACAGTTATTGCCTTTCACCTCCTCCCCCTTCAAAACTCAATATTTTCAGTTATCTCTTGTGAGGAAATATATCACATAAACTGGAAGTCATCCTTAACCAGAGCAATATGTAAGTTGACCCTGGAGGTTCAAAGAGAAACTTACGTAGCCTAATAGTGTGGCTTGCACATTCTATGCACTGTACTAAAAAATAATGTAACTTTCATGATTTCGATTGGGTGGAATAATTTTTAGTTACGATTAGGTCTTTAAAAGGTTCTTGGTTTTTAGTTATGATACTAAAATATTTACCAGTGAATTTATATGATGTGTAGGAGGTACTTCAAAACGATCTAAGAGTGAAAGGAACAAGAGAACATATAGATGAAACTGGACTGGGGATGAATTGATAATTGTTGAAGTCGGGTGATAGGTACATAGAAATTTATAGTTTTCCCTCAAATTTTATGTGTATCTGAGATTTTCTATAATAATTTTTTTAAATGTATGAGACTATGTACGTCTCAAAGTACTGCTTTCCATTCTTCATGTGTTAAAGACAGAGGGACCATCAGATCTTCAGATCTTGCTTTCTTTTTTTCTTTTCTTTTCTTTTTTTTTTTTTTTTTTTTGGCACGGGGTCTTACCCTTACACCTAGGCTGAGGGCAGTCATGCTGTCGTAGCTCACTGCAGCCTCAAACTCCTGGTCTCAAGCGAAGCCCCCAGCTCAGCCTCACGACCAGCTGGGACTTCAGGTGTGTATCACAACACCTGGCTAATTTTTTAAACATTTATTTTTTATAGAGACAAGGTCTTGCTATGTTGCCCAGGCTGGCACAGCTTGCTGTTAAATAAAACTATCTTTTTGAAATTGTCTTATGTAAATCTGTAAAAGTATTCCACTATAGGCACCTAATATGGATCTCTTTTGACTTTTATAACAAGGGGAGTTTTGCCTAAATGATAATATATATTGAATATGACTTTAAATTTAATACTCTTTTTATAGGAGAAAGATTTTGCTTTTCTTAAATATTTACTCCTGTGTTAGAAAATATCATTGCAAGGAGGTTATCAAAAATAGAAGAATTAAATCTTGGTTTTGTTATCTGTAAAATGATGGAGCAAATAATATTTAATGTGTTTTGAAGCCCCCTGGACATGAACATGTATGGTGGTAAACCTTGAAGGATTCTATATTTATATGTCTGTATTTCTTTATACCACCTTAGTTCAACTGTTTTACCATTCCAAGTTTCTTTTCCAAATTATGTACAAGCAGATGAATAAGAATATGTTGCAATTGATTTTTCTTAAGCAAGCTCAGTGTTTTTTGTTTTTTGACACTTTGTTTGGCAAAGGAGGTGTTCAATTTGTTGAGCTGACTGAGACTTAGAAAGAATAAACTATCACAGGATCTGCCACAAAGTAGATGTGAGGTAGTTGTTCAGTGAGAAGAGAGTGAGAGAGTTATTCCATCCTTGATCCAAACATCACTGTTGGGCAGGTAGATCACTAATTTCCTATTAAACCAAGTGGACAGGACAGTCCTGAATTAATTATGGAACAGTTTCTTTAAAGACGTCAGCTCTCTGCATCCCTTGTCTTGCCACTGAAATGGTGCTATTTCATCCCATTTCTCCCTTAAAGTAATTTTGTGATTTTTGCCACTTTTAAATAACACATTGCTAAAGTCAGGGTATAATGCAAAACCAAAAATCGGGTGGAGAATATCATATACCATCTTATCTCTAGAAAGCAATGTTGTCTGTAGGGCAAGAAAACAGTCTTTATTTCCCTGCAAATTGTGAATTTTTAATGTAGTTAGTTTTGAGAAATGAATGTAGGAAACTTTGAGCAAAACATCCAATAATGACCAGTAAATACATTTCCAGCCCAAAAGTATTTGCACAAATCTTTTTGTATCATATTGTTTAAAAGCAAGATAAGGGCAAAACTTAGTATCTCACAGAGAACTTTATATTTGAGCTGTGTGTCAGGATGACAGGCTTTCAGGACAGATGATGGCTTTTGAATATAAATGTACACATTTTAATTTTTCCTAATTGTGTATAAAGATTTTAAAATACACAGGCAGTTAAAACAAATATTTAGCCACAGTTAGATGCACAAGTATTGTATTTTTCTCACCGATACTACTGCTTTATTATGAATTTTTACCAAAATATACTTTTTTATGGAATGTTTGGTTAGTACTGCACTCTTTTCATAAGGAGAGATACGATTCAATTTCCAGTTTTCTTCAGGACTCTAATGCCTTGATACATTAGAATAATAAGTGAACAGTCAGGAAAATAAAGAGGTTTCTTCTCTTGGGAAAATCAAACTTTCTTAAAACTTTATTTTTCCTTCGGAAACTGAAGATACTGACCATTTATTATACATTTTGTTGGCTCCCTGTTCTATACCCACTACCACTTCAAGAGAAATCTTCCCCCACCTCCTACCCCAAAAAGTCTTTTTGGGGGTGTGACTTTTATAGTTGTAGAACATTATTAGCATTTCTCGGTACTGTTTATTTTGAACAAAACCAATCCATGCATTTTCTATTTGTTTAGGAGTCGGATGGTCAGGGCTGCCCTTTCTGTCGTTGTGAAATAAAAGGAACTGAGCCCATAATCGTGGACCCCTTTGATCCAAGAGATGAAGGCTCCAGGTGTTGCAGCATCATTGACCCCTTTGGCATGCCGATGCTAGACTTGGACGACGATGATGATCGTGAGGAGTCCTTGATGATGAATCGGTTGGCAAACGTCCGAAAGGTAAAACTAGAAACATGGGTTTAGTTAAGGTGATGTGACCATATGAAAAGGAAATGATGCCGTCATAAATGGAGTATGACTCAGCGTATTTGAGTTTAGAAAAGAGGCACACACACATACTAGCCTAGGCCTGTACAGGGTCAGGATCATCAATATCACTGTCTTCTACCTCCACATCTTGTCCCACTGGAAGGTCTTCAGGGGCAGTAACACACGTGGAGCTGTCATCTCCTATGATAACAACGCCTTCTTCTAGAATACCTCCTGAAGAACCTATCTGAGACTATGTTACGGTTAACTTTTTTTCATAAGTAGGAGTATACTCTAAAATAATGATAAAAAGTATAGTATAGTAAGTACATAAACCAGTAACATTCATTTATTATCATTATCACATATTATGTACTGTACACAAGTATATGTGCTATACTTTTATGCAACCAGCTGCACAGTAGGTTTGTTTACACCAGCATCACACAAACACGTGAGTAATGCTTTGTGCTATGACGTTAAGGTGGCTATGATGTCACCCACCAGGCAATAGGAATTTTTCAGCTTCATTATAATCTTATAGGATCACCATGATGTATGTGGTCCATTACCGAAATGTCATTGTGCAGGGCACAACTACTATAATGTTGACAGGCTGATATAATCATAGTTTGAGAGAGAACTAGATTCTCCTCAAGGTACTCTCATTGGTTTTAAACATCATAATGAGAGGTAATGAGAGTGTTTGTATAAAATTAAACGTCATCTAACACTGGCAATAGCAAATCTGTGAAGAAAAAATTTAAGAAAGGAAATTATTAAATTTGGAAATGGTGAAACTGAATTTGATTAAAAATATTCTTTGTTCAAATCTAGAAGAAGTGTCTGATAGAGTTTTTTCTTAATGGGAAGGCTGTCTCACTGTTTGGCTTCTAAGAGGTCACATAAGATTTACTTTTGTGAATTTACCAGAATCTGAGTTTGCTCATTAATGTTGTTGACTCACAAAAATTGACCTTGTCAGTTCACTGAGAATGGATGTTACTGCCCAGTTTAAGTTTATATAACCAGGTACACAACAGACTAGTCAATGAACCAGAATGCCAACTGATTAATTTACAGACCAGAAATACAGTGGTCAAGAGAGGTAGACTCTTGGATATCAGGCTATTCCCTGTACAGGAAGATACATGAAATCCCAATTACTTTCACAAATTTTTTGCTCTCAAAATCAGAGAAATGGGATTGAGTGGTGTGAAAGGTCTTCATATATGGTGCCACCCTTCCTCCTGACTTGGGCAGACATGGCTAATCAGTCATGATACTTACCGCCGCTGAGTTCAGACTTGGCCAACAGAGCCTTTCAACACAGCCCTGAAGATCTTCCACTGTAGTTCATTAGGATTTGGCAGGTAGCATGAAACCTATTTGCCATTGTCACTAGGTGGAGTGATGATAATGTGTAATGGCATCAGATTGTATTCACCGTATTCATCTATCTCTGTAGGAAGGAAATGCTTGGTAGTGGAATTTTGACAAGGCATTTCTTTGGGTTACTTCATTTTTAGGGCTGTGTGCGAGTTTTCCTCTTGGGAAACTCCTGCATTTTCTCCCTTCCAATGTTCCATGCTGACCAAATACATTCCCTTAGGATATTTTACATACAAATTTTTACATAGGAAGATATGTTAACATCACCAACATGGCTACTCTCAAATTTTGCATTTTTCTGGAATGATTTTTATTATTTATCTTATTGGTTTTTCATAAATGTTATAATTTAACACTCAGAGAAACTACACGATTTCACTCTTTAATCCTGAAAGATACAGTTTTTATTAATAGTTTGAATTATGTGATTTTTTTTGACCTAAGAAATGGAAGAAAGTAGTTATTCCTCAGAAATCCTGAAGGATGAACAAGAAAAAATAATCTTAGATTGAAACAGACTTGAGACTTGAGTCTCAAAACAAAGTTAACTTAAGGAAGACGTGGAATAAAGCACCAGTTCTGCTACAGAGTAGTAATGGCATGCTAGGCAAGTTATATAACCTCTTTCTTCCTCAGTTTACCCCTTCGTAAAACAGAAAAATAATAGTAGCTTCTCTGTTGGGTGTTGTGATGATCAAACGGGATCAAGGACCTAAGAACCTAGAAGAACGTCAGGTCACCAAAGTCATAAATGCTCACTATATTATTACCAATGTTAATTAATAATACTATGTAATACATATTCTAGGATATACTCCATAATCTGAGTTAGTAGAAATCATTTCATCACTATGCATGTGAGAGAGCTACATATGCGGAGCTGGTGATATTGATGTACTGTTCCCCAGAAGACATAAGTTTGAATACTGGCTCTACAATGTACAAATACAAACAAATCACATGACTAGTCTGAGCCTGATTTCCTCTTCTGAAAAATGAGAAGAATAATACCTCCCTAAATTGTTGAAAGAATGACATATGTTATTAATGCTGGTTTTATTGATTTGTGACCCTTTTTACTGCAAGTTAAAAATGATTTTACATTTTAAGTGGTGTATATTTAAATTCCTATATAAGTACCTACAAAATGTCCTTGATTTTACATCTTGTCCTAAAATATTCACTACCTGGCCCTTTAAGAAAAAGTTTGCAGCCCCAGGTCTAGGACATAGTAAGCATTTAAAGAATGGTTATTGAATGGATGGATAATGGAGAATGACAGAAAAGTATTTGAGATACAACAGCTCAAGTAGTTGAAGTGCTCCAGGTAGCAGTGTTTTTTTTAGCTGTGAAGACATTTCAATTTTCTTTACTAAATGGGTTTTCATCTTCAGTGATCCATGTGAGAGGGTAGGTCTAGGCTTTAAGAGAAATTTTAAAAAGAATTTTTGTATACCTTACTGCTTGGGAGAAAACAGTATCTGCCCTATGTGAATTTGGGAAAAGTTGCAGTCTCAACCTGCTTTCCATTGAATTAAGTTGAAGCTTGAGCCTCTTTTCAGTAGTGGCACTAACAATCGAAAGGAAATGCTGGGAACATAACATGAGAAGCAGAATGTTCCAAGGTGACTCTAGTGTTTCTCCTTGATCTTATCACCCGCTCCCAAGACCATTCATATTTCATTCTCTCTGGCACACTGGTGAGCTTTCTGTCAAGGGAGCTGAGACATTTTCAAATTGATCCTTTCTGTTTTTTACCCCACAAAGAGTAGAATGATGATCTCAAGCATTATTGTCCTAGAAGTCACACTTCAGTAGCTTATTTGGCAGTCAGCAGTGTCATTTAATAAAGCTTTACTTCACTACAATCTTGTTATACTTTCTTATGGGAGTTAGATAGTTTAGAAATTTATATCACTTGTAATTATTTGTTTTTAAGTTGAAGAGGTATATTTCAGTTAAATGTCTTTATGTCTACTAATCTGCCTCTAGTCAATTAAACTGATTGTGACTTTTATAGCATTTCATAAATGTGTACCACTTAATTTTCAATAAAACCTAAATTTTTATATAGATACAAGCATAATTCTTTCTGAATAATTTGGAAGAATATTGCTATGATGTTATGTTCTTATAGTATTTTATATGTACTTCTATATCAGGAGTTACACTAAATTGTTATTTAAAGGACTGTCTTTAAGGCCAGGGACAATGCCTTGTATTTGTGTTCCCAGGCACCTAAATGCACTCAATAAATATTTACTAAGTGAACTAATAAATGCACACTCCTGCACACATGTTCCTTTAGGGCAATGACCTAATCTTATGCATATTTTAAACTTTGTTCCAACCTGAATACTAAATATATATATACACAGAGCATCAAACTGATAGATTTTATCCAGTTTTTTCTTATAGGAGTGGTTATAAACAAATGTCACATGGTCATTTTGACACAGTAGTTCTTCTACC
This sequence comes from Homo sapiens, assembly GCF_000001405.40. NCBI lineage: Eukaryota > Metazoa > Chordata > Mammalia > Primates > Hominidae > Homo > Homo sapiens. The sequence goes on along the minus strand of NC_000003.12, from coordinate 105,716,152 downwards.
TGAATGTTCTTCCTCTGTTTTTTAAATCATTCTTTTGTCATTCATTCATGCATTTTCATTCATTCACTCATTCATTTATTCATTTATTTTTTAATTAACTGATGAATTAATTTAGAGCTGGAGTCTCGCTTTGTTGCCCAGGCTGGACTGCAGTGGCACTATCTTGGTTCACTGCAACCTCTGCCTCCCTGGTTCAAGTGATTTTTCTGTCTCAGCCTCCCGAGTAGCTGGGATTGCAGACGCCTGCCACCACGCCTGGCTAATTTTTGTATTTTTAGTAGAGACAGGGTTTTACCACATTGGTCAGCCTAGTCTCGAACTCCTGACCTCAAGTGATCCAGCCGCCTCAGCCTCCCAAAGTGCTGGGATTACAGGCATGAGCCACCGTGCCTGGTGCCTGGACTTACTCATTTATTTTTAAAACATTTTATTCTCTCAGTTAAAAGAGTGACTGCCAGTGATTGTCCAACAGAATGGTTCCATTGTTTCTATCTGCCATTTTGAATACTCATCTTTTTCTTCTTTTATGAGCGGGCCAATGATAATATTGTGAAATTGTTTCTTCCTGTCTTCAGCATATTACATTCTTTAAATGAGTAATGCTGCCATCGTAGCATGGAAACCTGCTTTGATTGTATATTCCTGTTACCATGGTGATATCCCACAGCTGGAGTTCATAAATAGTAGCATACTAAACATATAGTGTATTTCTATTATTTCTTTTATAGTTAAATGTGTTTAATAATGCTAATCCTTACAGAAGCAATAGAACCTAAAAGTCTATAATACATACTTTTTGATTCCCTCTCTGATAGAAAGTATTTTGTGATACTAACTAGAATATGTTTTAGATTTTGCCCAAGTCTGTATCGTTGCCTGAGTTTTCAAGCTGTCAGAATCCTGGGATAATTAGATCTGATGTGAGCCCTCAGACAAAGTCCAGGATGTGACTGGTAAGATCACAGCCTTCTCTCTGACTTCATTCAGATCAGAGCTAAAAAACAGTATCTGTTGCTACCCAGTGATTTGCTTCATTTTGCCAGAGGATTAAGAGGAATCTTAACAGTTTTTCACAGTATTAGTCACCAAATACATAACATTTACATTTGAAATAAATAAAAATTTGCATATAAAAATAAAATGTTGACAGACTGAACTAGTGAATGAGCCCAGATTAGTTCTTATTGTCTTAAACATTGTATTTTCTTAAAATAATATTTAAAATCTTAATGGCCACATTAGAACAAAAATGGGTATGAACAAAAGTCAAGGAAGTTATTCTTTTTTATGCATTCTCCTTTGTTGCCTTCTTCAATTAAAATACATCTTGCTAATTAGAAATGTAACATGTCATCTAAGTATTGCATTTCCTAATAAGTGTGAAGAACGTCTCTATAGCAGGGGTCCCCAAACCCCAGGCCATGGACCAGTACCAGTCTGTGATCTGTTAGGAATCGGCTGTGCAGCAGGAGGTGAGCAACAGGCTAGTGAGCGAAGCTTCATCTGTATTTACAGCCACTCCCCACAGCTCGCATTACCGCCTGAGCTCTGCCTCCTCTCACATCAGCAGTGGCATCAGATTCTCAAAGGAGTATGAACTCTATTTTGAACTGCACATGGGAGGGTTCTAGGTTGTGCGCTTATTAGGAGAATCTAATGCCTGATGATCTGTCACTGTCTCCCATCACCCCTAGATGGGACTGTCTAGTTGAAGGAAAATAAGCTCAGGGCTCCCACTGATTCTAAATTATGGTGAGGTTTATAATTATTTCATTATATATTATAGTGTAATAATAATAGAAATAATGTGCATAATAAATGTAACACATTTGAATCATCCCAAAACCATCCCCTTCCCCTCCCTGCCACCGTTCGTGGAAAAAATGTCTTCTACGAAACCAGTCCCTGGTGCCAAAAAGGTTGGGGACTGCTGCTGCATAGTATTCCTGATCCTAAGGAAAGGGGTGTGTGTGCATATCACAGTGTTTTGCAGCTATTTTTAGGAGGATGTTGCCTTTTTACGTTGTCTATTTAAATCTGAATCACAGGATTAGAGTCCGTGTTGGAGCCGTAAGATCAAAAATTACAACAGAAGTGAAATACAAAAATAAAAATAGACATTCGAAATGCAGAACATGGTTCTCAACTATAGGCAATTTTACCTCTTGAGGGTATTCAGTAATATATGGGGACACTTTTGTTTTTTGCAATGACTAAAGGATGGCAAATACTGCTGGCATTGAGTGGGAAGGGCCAGAGATACTAAATATCCTGCAAGCCCATGGGTGGTCCTACCCAAAAGAATTATTCTGACCATAGTACTAATAGTCTAGTCCTCACCACTGCCTTCCCACAACATTTAGGTAGAGCCGTGAGTGACAGTAAGCAATCCGAAGGCACAGGTTTGTTGTTCATCGTTTACTTGCACTCTGTTTACTGATCTTCTAAAAGCTCTTCGTGCAAAATAGTGGTATTTTCTTTATTAGCATGTGATTAGCAAAAGAAACAACTGCATCATCCAAGTGCTGTGTGATGTCGTAGGATACCTTGAAGACATTGTTACTTATTTCTCAAAAATAACTTGAATACATAGTATATTAGAAGAAGCAACACTTGAACTCTAAAAGTTTTGAGTCCACTGCCTCAGGTAGATTGTCAGCTCCTTGAGGACACAGGCTATGCTTTATTCTTCTTTCCATTCTTAGAGGTTTGCATGGTGCTTGATACACAGTAGGCCCTTGAGAAGGATTTTTTTTTTTTTAATGATCAGTGGTGACACTGTTCTTAATTGTTATATTCTTAAGTAGAGCTGCCCTCTTGGAGTGAAACTGCCTGGGCTCATCTTCTAGTTTTCCTACTTAGTATCTATGTGCCTTGTTTTATTTAACACCCCCTCCCACTCCCCTTCCCCCAAGTACTTGGTCCATAAAACTCTGCCTCTTTAAGATTAAATGAGTTCATATATATAAAAAGCCATTAGAACAGTGCTGGCACATGGAAAATGCTAAGTATTGGTTGTTATTAATATTATTTTTAAAGTAAATTAACAAAGATGGGGTCTCACTCTAATGCCCAGCATAGTCTTGAAATCCTGGCCTCAAGTTATCCTTCCACTTCGGCCTCCCAAAGTGCCAGGATTACAGGTGTGAGCCATCACACCTGGCCACATTTTTTATACTAGTGTTATTTAAGACTCCTGAAATATTGCTGTACTTCTAAGAATTAAGTTATTAGTATTTTTGAGTTGTCTATGGAAGGTTTTCTTTTAGATGTTGATAGCATTCCATTAGGAAGAATTAGATGCCAAAATTTTATTGGTTACCAAGCAATTGGTTGTATTTCTTTAACATATTAACATCTATATAGTTATAATTTCATTGCATGACCACATTAAAATAATTTACTGTTAAACCATGCTTCAAGTTTGAAACTCAGAAAATGCAAACTTGTCAACATGTCAGCTGAAACACTATTTTGAGGATTAAATAATTTAGATAAGGTTACAATGTTCTTATTTTCTGTATAACTAAGTTGAAATGATTAAGTATTATCTAAAGTAGGGTGAAGAACTACAGTAACCAAATAGCAATTGCTTGTTCCAACCAGCTTTAGCTGGCATTTGGAGAGCAATAAGGGTTTTCACATGAAAGCATTTTTTCAGTGACCAAAATTTATTCCTTTAATTCTCAGAATGTTCTTGTTTCTTGGCCATTTTTATGGAAATATTTCTGAATTATATGTCACCCTTCCCTGCCTTCTCAAAATTGGTTATGCAGCTGAGCGAACCAAAGGGCATAAGAAGCCACTGTAGTCAACATGACACATTTCTAAAAGCTTACATTTTGCTACAAGATTTGAGGGTAGCTTGCATAAAGAGAAGAGAACCATAAATTTAAATTAAAATCACACATATATTTGGATCAGGATATAAAATTTGTGTAAATGTTTAAAGTAAAATACAAAACTTTAAAGAAATTTCAAGGTTATGGAGGCTGATCATAGGCCAGGAGATCAAGTCCCTCTCATAAGAAGGTACTTCAAGGAGAAGCAGTATCATCACTTGTGTTAACAGTGTTTAATATTTCAGTAGAGCAGTGCCCTTAAGGTTATCCCCAAGTGTGAGACTGCACTACTTTAAAGGAGACCTGTCGGCAACTTTATTGACCACTTCTCTGCCAGACCTCAAAGAGAAATCAGCTCTTATTCCATTTGGTGTTTCTTAATATATAGGTTTCTGTTTTCCTCCGCTTCTTTATTGCTTCTAATTTGAAAATTTCCAGAAGTTACTAGTGGAACATAGACAGTAATTCAGCCTTTGAATTAGTGAACTTCATTTTACACAGAAATCAAATGTCCATATTCTTAGGAAGGTAGCAGGGTGCCTACATTCTGTTTCTGTATTAAGAAGTAGAAAAAAAAATGTTCCTCCTACTTCAGAGGACTTTCCTGTTTCATTCTGGGTTTCTCCCCAAATTATTGTAGGTTGAGACTTCTGGAAGTATGACCATGGGTAACCAGGAAATGATTGTATTGCTCTAACACAATATTCTTCATATAAGCTTTTGTTTATTATCTGTGGAGGTACTCTAAAATAGATAACACAAGTCATTTACTTAAGCTATAATGCCATATGAATATGTGAGTATGTGTGTAAGCATTTTTGTAGCATATACCCTCTCTGAATAATATTCTGTATAGGCTACTATTTTAAATACTCTTGATTTTTGTTTTGTTCACAAAATAAAGTGAAAAAACTGAGAATAGTAGCAAGTAAAATATGCTTAGACTATTTTATCATGTGATAAAAGTTTTATCAATGTCTTCATTAATTTTCACGCATTTATAGAAAAACATTGACTCTCTGAGTCCTTCTCATCATCCTTATTATAGTAACTGTATATACCTTTTTCAGATATGGAAATTCATTAAGTAAAAATCTTGTTAAAAGTATTATAAAATTGACTTTGATTATCTCTGGGACTGTCAGAACTCTCATCTTATTAGTAATTGGAGAGGTTTTCTCTTGTCCTGTTTTTATAATAAGCCTGACTGTGCTTGAAGTTTCTTACCAAATGTTTTGCCATTTCCATAATAATGGATCTTATTAACGTTTTTATAAAATGGCTCTTTAAAGGTGTGGATAAAATGAAGAGTGACTAAAATAGAATGAGTTCCCAATTATTATTGGTAATTGCTGAACATAGTGAGATGGGCTTTTGACTACTTTACTTCTTAGGGTTTTTCTGTCAGGATTTTCTGTTAAGATTGAACATGTGGATTTCTCTGTTCCTCGTGGTAGTTATAAAGGATTCTGTGCATTTTGTCAGAAAAATAAATAATAGTATTTATTAATTTCCAAAGCAAAAGGATGAGTATGTAGACGTAAAAGAATCCAATGTGGTCTTTAAATTTCTAGAACACCAGGATTCTAGTTTGTAAAAGATGTTCTCATCTGTTACTAGGATTGAAGAACTTAAGAGAAATTGTTAGTTAGACAAATATACTGGTGTGATGATAATACAGGAAGGAATCAAGGCTGGCTCAGCCTTTGGATTTGGAAAGAAGCTGAAACAGATAATTTATCATAAAGTTTTAGAAACAAGTGTAATACTAGAAAAATGTGAGAATCACCTAAAATCAAGATAAAGGAATGAAGTGATACTGATCAGTATCTTTTAACTTGAAAGGATGTTTGTGTCTTTCCCAACTTTTGCAGTTACCTCTACATAAGGATTTTGGATATTGTGAATAAGTTCTATACAGTTAATTCTGTGTTCACATTCTACTTTCTATGCTTTATGACTTAATTTTTCCATACTTATATTTGTTTGTCTTAAGATTAGAGAGATGAACATGAAGGAGTGACAAAGAAAGGAACTCATTTAAGCAGTGCTCAAAAGGACATGATACTTTAGTCATTCATTAACACATGAAAACCAGAAGAGCACAGGCGAAATCTCTACCATGAAAAAGTCAGAAAAATTTAACTGCAGAAAAAATAGTGACAGCAATTATAACAGATAGAAAGAGGTTGACTATCCTAATATATAAAGAGCACTTTCAAATCAACAAAGAGGAAATTAGTGGATATGGGGACCAAAAAAATGTAAAAAGCTAGTGACCCAAAGAAGAAGTACACATGTCCAACAAAGATTGCATTTCTTTCAAATTATTTGTCAAGGAAGGAAGGGCAAATTTAAACATTGGTATGGCCCATTAAAATGACAATCAAGCATCAAAGCAAACAAAATATTCTTTGCATTTGAGTTTTGTGTAATGGTAATTATCACACATGGCTGGTGAGAGAATAAATTGGTTTTACCATCTGGACAGCAAAAGAGCCTTAAAAATATTCATAAATTCGACACGGTTACATGTCTAGTATCTTGTGCTCAAAAAAATTGTATGATTCTTTCCTTAAAAACTAGCACATATATGGTTAAAGATTTCTTTATGATACTACTTTATAATAAAGAAAACTTGAAAACAGCATAAGTGTTCATTGCACAGGAATGGTTTTGTAAATCCATATATGCATACTTTAAAATTATATTCATGAAGAATGTTTACCGCTAATTTTTTTTTGTATAATGCTAATAAACATTGAGTAGACTTAACATTGTGTATGTGATTAGGAACCATCACCAATGGCTATATGTAGGTGTTCTTTAAAATATCTTTATATTTCCCTATAATTCCAAAATTTCCTAGAGTGAAATTATGTTCTTTATAATGAAGAGAGAAAAAGTGAAATAAACAGAAAATTGAAAAGATACAAGGACAGAACTGCCAAAACCAGTAAAACGTATTTTTTATGGGAAACAGTTTGACAACATGCATACCCCTAAATTTATAAGCCTAATCCAATTCTTAAACTACTTTTCTTGTTATCATTTGTTGTTTTTGTGTTTAAGACCCTTTCTAGGTTAAAAAGAAAGCCTAATCATGTTAAATTAAATTTTAAGTTTGCTTTTTTAAAGGTCAGTGCTAATAATAGCAAATAATCCAAGAGGCATTTCTATTTGACTTTTGAATGCATTTTTACTTAATTTAATTATTTGGTTAGATATTTGATTTTGTTACTATTGCATTAAGAGCTGATAGTGGGAGGAATTGTCTGGGACAAAATAAGAAATAACAAGGGTGGGCATTTTGTTTAACAGTAACTTTAATGGGATTACCTTTTGGCAGTGTAGATGGGCAAGCTTTGACTAGAAATTTGGAGATAATATAATAGATTACATTCTGTCCCTTTTACATCAAAATAATCCATTTTCCTAACAATTTCATCTAAATAAAAATTAAATATTTTACATCAGCATTTATTTTACATAATGTTTATAAATGTTTTACATCAGCATTTATTTTATAATGCATTATTTAATTTTATTAACCCATAATGTTCTGTCAAATGCATTAATTTTATTCTTTAATCTACAGATAACACCACCAATAGGTGGTGACATTTTCAAGACTGCATGGCCTCTTTATATTATAACTGAAATTTAAATATAAGCAATTTGAATATAGGAAATTTAAATATAGGAGATCTGTGGTTTGAAATCAGGTTATACATTTATTTATATGATTACTCAAATGCAAAAAAAAATTGTTCTTTATAACCAGTTGGCATTAGAGCTTAGATAGTCATACTTGAAATTTACATTTTCTAATCAAGAGTATCCGTATGAACAAAATACTAACTGTTGTTATTCAGAATTTAAATGAATCCTTTGCTACTTTTCTACCCAAGATGTTTTATACTTATGTATTTGGTCTGCATTTTTATACACAATGGAAGTAGTAGTGATTAAGAGGAACAGTGGACAAATCAGTAAGTGATAATTAGCACAGTTCACAGTCTTAGAATTTAAACCTGAGCCAGGGGATTGGCTCTATGTTTGTTTGTTATTATTGTTTTACCCCAACAGCTCCCTTTATCACCTATCACATGTAGAAAAAGATAAATGGCCTGGGTGATTTGAGCTGGGGATTAGAACTGTGGAAGAAAGCCCAGAAAAGGGTGGAGGAAATGGCTGATAAGGAGTCAATTTAGGGGATAATATGAACTGGTGGGCTAAAGATGAATTCCCACATTCAGGTCCCAGCTATAGAGGCATTTGAATTACCTGGTGATTACCTGTACAGGGGAAAAGTCTGTTACTCTAGAATTTAGTCTTTTAAAATGCAAAAATAAAAATAAAAAATGCAGCTATTACAAAAAGACAGCATTGTCTTTTAAAGGAGAAATAATTTTGGTCTACATTGAATTGATGTACTTTGTTTTTTTTTATTTTCAGAAGGATAAAAAAGAGCAGACTTTTTATTCTTTAAAGTGAGCTGATAAATTTTGATGTCCTGAATTTTTAATATCTCATCCAATAAATTAATTATGGACTGGATTGTGCAACATTGTGCTAGATTTCCTTTTTTTCCGTAGACTTTCAAATAGGAAGGAAAAAACACAATTTGTGATGACTCAAATAAATTAAAAGTGACCTTCTATATGAACATTACCTACTAAAAATGTTTACAAATCTTCATAGTGTTTGAATTTTACCAGCAATGAAAGTTAAGGCAAAGCTTCAGTACACTAACTGCATAATTGTTTTTAAAAATAGTAAAAGGTTCAGCAAAGAATAATGCATTACTATCAAAAGAGCATTGTTAAATTATCTACTCTTAGGTAGGAATTTTACTCTAATTTAGGAGAACTCAGGAAAATGAGGTTTGGTGAGTTTAGTACATATAATCAATAAAGATGAAAGATATTTTTTTTCTTCACATACTCTCCATAAAATCCTTCTAACTAAGCCAACTTACAGATACTGTGTAGCTTCTAAATGAATTAATTCTTCAAAAGGACAGTACATAATCACCTTCAGAACACAGTATGAATTGCGCTAAGCAAGATATGCTTCCAATTACATTCACAAAGCTTCAGAGAGCCTGCTCGTCTGGAAGTATCTAAAAGTTCAAGGTTATTACTTTGCCACACACATTGGTTTGGATGTCTGTTCTGAGGATTTTCATTATACTCTTTCAGTATCCAACAGGCTCTTCAACACATCTGAAATCAAATTTACCCCATTTAAACATGCTAGAAATTTACTAACTGCTTAAATATTAGTAATTAATCCAATCTAGGGTGAAAGTCAAGTCCTAATACTGATAATGGGCTGTTAGCTCTATCACAATTCTGTGTCTTGTTTCAGTTAATGAGAGAAGTAGGAAAATATTTGCAGAAAAAAAGTGCTTGGAGGAGCACAGGTCTCATTCAGCAGTCTTTGCAGTGTGTACATCTAGCCCTGAAAAGTGTTTTTGCAAGTAACTAAAGAACTGTGCATTCTTTCTATATATAAAAAAATATATTGTTTGGGCTAGAAACAGTATTGATAGCTTTGCTTCTTGATTCTTCTTTGTAAAGGAGAGTAGCCATATCAACAAAGCATTTTTTTCAGGTAATAGCTTTTCTAGTTCTCAGAGAATATAATTTATCCTAATAGGAATGGTGGAGAATTAGATGTCCTGTGACAATTGCTGATCTACAGTGTCAAGATGCTGTGATGCAAATAGCTTTACATGAGGAATTTTTTCTGATCTATGATGATTTTGGGATTAGTTTTGCTCCAGAAGGTTCAAATTTATGGAACATGTGAGGCCCTGTGACTTTCTGGGTAGAACTATTCTTTTGTTAAGAATCACTGGCTGTACTCAAGTCAGTTTGTGACTATAGAGATTCTTTATTTTCTCCTTCAGTGACAATTGAATTTTTTTGACTTACCATAACCGAGCTAAAAGAAATGAAAAAGAATCATTAATTTTTAAAAAAGAAATGTTTCTAAAAATTGTAATGTAAAATTATGTTGAATTTTGTTGAATGATTTTGTTATTCGGCACCAACAGAGACAAAGACTTTGCAGTTTAGTAATGTCATGACAATATTCAGGCATATCGGAGGTATAGTCTTCTGTTTAGCTACTCAGATTTATTTATTTTATTATTTTTTTAGAGACAGGGTCTTGCTCTGTTGCCCAGGCTGGAGTGCAGTGGTACGATTATAGCTTACTGTAGAGTCAAACTCCTGGGCTCAAGGAATCCTCCTACCTTAGCCTCTTGAGTCGTGGGACTGGAGGCGTGTATCACCACACCATTCTAATTTAAAAAAAATAAAAAATTAGTAAAGAGGAGGTCTTGCCATGTTGCCCAGGCTAGTCTCAAACTCCTGGCTTCAAGCAGTCCTCCTGCCTTGGCCTCCCAAAGTGCTGGCATTACAGGCATCAGCCACCAGGGCTGGCCTCAGATTTATTTTTAAAAAGTCTTTACAAAGGACGCATAAATTTCCAACTATATAAATGTGGGCTGTGCAGTGACTTCCTTGCAAAGAGTATACTATGGGAAGGAGGAGAAAAAAAGAAACTTAACAGTGAAGAAGTCTGATAAACAATACCACGGTCAGGTAATTAAGGTCAGCAACAGCAGTGATGAATCATGTTGATAGCATGGATCCTTGATATGATGTGGTCAAAATGACACTTTACTTCCGTGGTCCTACTCCTCAAAACTTTTAACCCCAGGCTAATTATTTTTAAAAATTAGACAAATCCCAATAAAGAAACATTCTGTATAATCTCTAACCAGTACTTTACAAAACTGTCAAAGTCATCAGACACAATGGATGTCTGAGAAACTGTCAGAGCCAAAAGGAGAGTAGGGAGACGTAATAATAAAAACTAATACAGTATCCTGCATGAAATCCTGGAGAAGAAAAAGGACATTGGGTATAAACTAAGGAAATCTGAATAAACTATGGATTTTAGTTAATTAACAAAAGCCTTATACAATGTAACTAAGTGTGAATGTGAACGCAAATCCATTATCTCAGTTAAAGACAGACTAAATGATAAAGCTGCTGAGTTCATATTAAATTGTCAAATGATGACATCAGCAATTCGTACAAAGGTAAGTAATGTTAGGAGGAAAATGGCTTACAAATAAGTTTAAAACTATAAATACTAGCATTCAGAAACAGAACAATATCAAAGCATGATAGATAGTGTTGTAAACATTAAGTCTAAATCTTCAAAGAGCTAGTAACTTAGACTTGGAAACTGCCCAGTATTTTAGAACAGAATATTGTTTATCCTGTTAAGGCTACTTGATTAACTGTATGGCTTTTATAACAAATAGAAATTAGGTTATGCTGCATTAAAACACATAGACACACACACACAAACACACAACATTATGCAATAGGAAGTGTTACGTACAAATTGAAATACTTACTGGCTTTTCGATGCTACTTTATCTACCAGACAATATGGAAAACTTGTAGTAACAGAAACTTAGTTTTTGCCAGAAGTACAGACAGACTTTCCTAGATATAGTTCATTGTGTTTCAAGAAAAATGTTTAACTTGAGAATCTTTTCCATGTGTAGTATTAAGGAAAAAAAAATAGGCTTAAATCAGTTTGTTTTAAACACACAATTATTTTTTTAAAACCCCACCTGATTTAATTGGTTTGCAGGAAAATAGACTACATACAAGATACATGTTTGGAACAAAGCAATAGCTAAGTATTAGAATGTACAAAGCTCGAGCAAAAAAATTTATAATATAGAGATCCAAGAGCAATGTGCATTATTGCATTATGTGTTTCTGGATTCCTCATAAAATATAGATGGTTTTCTTGAAGAATATCTGCATTTGATTGTCTTTATACTATACTTTTGCTGTTCTTTTTTCTTAGCCCCTTTCTGCAATATGTAGGAAAAACTTATCAGTCTTTTCTTTTCGTAATACTACCCTTGAGGGACAGTATGAACTATTTGCTTCTATTAATCAGGGTAAACTAAGGGAATTCATTTTAACAAATGTATGGTGCCAGAAACCTTCTTCCAACCAAATATATTCTTTAAGAACAGAGAACACTCTGCACAGCTAATAAACAGCGGCATCTTTCTCTTTTTCTGTTCTAGTGCACTGACAGGCAGAACTCACCAGTCACATCACCAGGATCCTCTCCCCTTGCCCAGAGAAGAAAGCCACAGCCTGACCCACTCCAGATCCCACATCTAAGCCTGCCACCCGTGCCTCCTCGCCTGGATCTAATTCAGAAAGGCATAGTTAGATCTCCCTGTGGCAGCCCAACGGGTTCACCAAAGGTAGATCAATTTTATTAGAAACACAGATGAAAATTTTGTAAGACAATTATTGATTGCTCAGATTCTTTTAAATTCCATTACTCATATTTTTTTGCTTTTAATTGTGAATAAGTTTGATGAGTTTCTCGTTTAGTTTATGGTGAGCCCACATTCATATTTCTTGTTTTATTACTATGAGAGTTACACATAATTTTTGCAGAGAGCATATGTCTGTAGCCCCATGATTTGCCAGAATAAGAAGCAGAGTAAGTATAGTTATTTTGTAAAATAGATTTAAAAGGTCATTATATGCATTAAAATAATTTGCATGCTGTTATCAAATGATATTTTACGCTCATTTTTATAGTGCCATGACAAGAAAAATGTGATGGGAGTATATTTGCAAAGGGCTTAAGGTATGACAAATTATCACCCTTGTTTCAAGGCGACTCAGAAGAGGGAATTATATGTAGTTTTTAAACCTGGAGAAATTAATTACAATGAATTGCAATATTTGCAGAGTAATTATATTACTGTTTAATATTAAAGACATAATTTTTACTCTACAGTTAAACCTACAGTTTATTTTACTGTGTGGATTTTTTCCTCGAATTTGATAAGTATAAGATTTTAAAAATTAATTTTATTTGGTAACATGCTCTGTTGTCTAAAATTTGTTGGAAGCACAATATATTTAGTAGTGTTTGATTTTCCTGTATTACCAGTTAACCTGGTTTTAAGATCACACATTATTAGAATATCATTTAGAATTATGTAAACACAACAGATTCCTTTTTTCTCTGCTATTTTCTAACATTAAAATTACAAATCAATCATCAGATTAACCATGTAAATAAAAGTCAAAAGCTACGAAAAGCATACTCATTCAATTCATTGATCTATACCTTTATATTTCTATGTAAGAATCAGCCTGATCTTTTAAAATACTGTAAGAATTCATAAAATTGAAGTAATTCCATATGTAGTGCTGCTCTGTTACTTGTGATCTTTTACTATTCTGGTAATAACCGATAAAGAAGCAGAGCACATTTGCCCCCATATCAGTTTTGCTGTATCACAGTGATGAAAACAAAAATAAAGAAAAAGCTTTTAATCTTCTAAAAATATTACAAATATTACAAATCAAGTTACTCTTTAAAAAAACTGAAACCATGACAACTTTTCTCCTCTCTCCTAAATCATAGAGATGTGCAAATAAATTATTGACATATTCTTTTAATGTCAAAGTCATTGTATGATTTTGATCTTCTACTTGTTTCTGTATCATTTCTATAACTTAACATTTGGATTTATGTACTCATTTCTACTTTTTCCTAATGAAATGTATTTATGAGTTTTTTATTCTCATTTAAATTTCATTAACTAGTAATAAAAGCAACTTATTAAAAGATGGCACAGGAATCTAGTAAAACTCCTTGTTTGGCTTAGAAAATTAAAGCAATAATACACTAGTTTGGAAGTTCTGTCAGTGCATGGTACAACCTTTAGTTTTTTTTTTTTTTTTTTTTTTTCTCTTCTGTTTCTTTAGTCTTCTCCTTGCATGGTGAGAAAACAAGATAAACCACTCCCAGCACCACCTCCTCCCTTAAGAGATCCTCCTCCACCGCCACCTGAAAGACCTCCACCAATCCCACCAGACAATAGACTGAGTAGACACATCCATCATGTGGAAAGCGTGCCTTCCAGAGACCCGCCAATGCCTCTTGAAGCATGGTGCCCTCGGGATGTGTTTGGGACTAATCAGCTTGTGGGATGTCGACTCCTAGGGGAGGGCTCTCCAAAACCTGGAATCACAGCGAGTTCAAATGTCAATGGAAGGCACAGTAGAGTGGGCTCTGACCCAGTGCTTATGCGGAAACACAGACGCCATGATTTGCCTTTAGAAGGAGCTAAGGTAAGAAATACGCAAAGCAGAAGCTAGAGAATCTGCTTATAAATGCTTCTGATGGTCAGTAGCATAAAAGGTTGGGAAGTGTTTTTTTTTGCCTAGCATGGCACTTCCCTGTAAGTCTTTAATTATCCCCAAGTTATAAATAATCAGAAGCTCATTAAAACTTGAACTTAAGAGAAGTCAGGAGGTTCTAAGTAATGATTTAATTTTAATGTGAAGACACTAGACAATTTGCCAGAGATTTATTTCACCTTCCCGTATTTCATTTGCCAAAAATTTCTTCTATTAACAACTTAGTGGTGGTATAATCAGCCTGCATTTTTTTTTTTTTTTGAGACGAAGCCTCGCTCTTGCCCCCCAGGCTGGAGTGCAGTGGCGTGATCTCGGCTCACTGCAACCTCTGCCTCCCAGGTTCAAGCGATTCTCCTGCCTCAGCCTCCTGAGTAGCTGGGATTGCAGGCACCTGCCACCACGCCTAGCTAATTTTTGTATTTTTAGTAGAGATGGGGTTTCACCATGTTGGCCAGGCTGGTCTTGAACTCTTGAGCTCAGGGGATCCACCCGCCTCAGCCTCCCAAAGTGCTGGGATTACAGGCATGAGCCACTGTGCCCAGCCAGCACGGTATTTTTAACAAACTCCTTTAGTTCCATCCAATTTTTACAAGTTGTGTTACTATACATGTCATAAATCAGTTGTTGGAGTTAGTTATTGTTGCCTGGGACAGTGCACATTAGGCAGCCAGGTAAAATGAACCTCCTATATACTTAAAAACACTAAACCAAGTTTACTCTTAAAAATCAAGTTCTTTTCCCAAGTTCTTTTCCCCTAAAATTGAGAGATTCTCACCCTTGTTGACTTCTCACTTGAAGGATGTTACTACTATCATTTATATGTCCAGGAAGGAGTTTATGTGTGCAGGAAACTGAAGAGACAGCAGCAGAAATCATTTACTTTAGAATTCTTGGTAGTTCCTTGGCAGAGGTATACTGTAATAATTTCTGGTATTTGGTTCCAGGGTGCTTTTGACTCTGAGATTAGATCCTTGCCATCTTCCCTCTGCTGATGGAGGCCTTGGCTCTTCTGAAGACTATAATATTAAAGTGATCTCATCTCTGTAGACCTTAAATTGATATTTTACAGAAGTAGTCTAGTCCTTCAATATAATGGTTAAAGTTGGTGAGTTCATCTTATATTCAGGATATAAGGAAGAAGCGTGACTTGCACTCAGCTCCTCTGTGTGTGGAGGTACAGTGATAATGAACACTTTGTATGACAGTATTTAACCTCAGTGATATGGGGTAGCCAGGAAAGGAAGAGTCACAACTCAGTAGCACAGCATTCAAAACCAAAGGCAAGGAGTGGTGGCAGTTTGCTTTGACTCTTTGCTGGTGACTCACCTTGGTACCTTCAGTCTCATCTATTATAAATATGAGGATCTCTAAAGGTTTCCTCAGGTTCACCTAAATATAATGTAAATGTAAGAGAACATACTAATAAAACCAATTTTATAATAATCTCTGTTAGTGGGGAGCTCCTCCTCAAAAGAGTTTTTCCACAACCTAGAATGCTGATTGGAAGGACCTGCCATTCATTTTCAAAAATTTTCAGGTTTTTTTTTTTCCCCCTTTAGCTTTACTTTTTATTCATATGTGATCACACTTGTCTTGGGAAGAGTGTTAGAAGAAGCTGTAATTAACTAGTTATATCTCAGCAGCATGTTATAATTTATTTTCTAAACGGACTTCAAAAATACTTGAAATATAATAGTTGTTATAGCCATTTCATTGAAGATATCTTGTCTCGGGGTTCTTTTAGATAACATGTTATAGTTTTAATGCTATTATAAATTTGCCCTCCTAAGCTCTAGAAAACTGGCTGTTAATTTTTTTATGAGATGTTACCCCAATTTCTTAGGTTATTGGTATGAGATACTGTTTTTATTTTATTAACTATAGGTATGAAATATTGTGAGTTCAGTTATAAAAACATTCCTTTAAATATTTCTGTGTGAACTTTCATGTTGTGATCATTGAAACAGATTAGTATAATAGAGAACACTGAGTGAAAATTTTATCTCTTATTGAAAGCTGAACTTTAATATTGCTTAGTTCTCTCTAAATAATTCTCATTAAGATTTCCTAAGTTCTAATCTCATATATTGTGGGTATTTATATTGCAATGCTA
This sequence comes from Homo sapiens, assembly GCF_000001405.40. Classification (NCBI taxonomy): domain Eukaryota; kingdom Metazoa; phylum Chordata; class Mammalia; order Primates; family Hominidae; genus Homo; species Homo sapiens. The sequence goes on along the minus strand of NC_000003.12, from coordinate 105,699,911 downwards.
ATATCCTCCAGTTAATTTCATGTTACTCTTAGATTTGGTGTTTCAACCAAAATTAGACTTCTGAGATTTCTAATTTCAACCTAATTGTTTAACTTCTGGAGTGAGCTGTAAAAAAGAATTTATATATAGTTGATTCATTGAATGCCACAAAACTATAAAACAGACCATGTCTCCTCTTTTATTACTGTTATAAAGGAAAAATGATTCACTTCATTAGATCATAGGGCATACCAGAACTTAGATAAATTAGAAAAGGCCTAATTCCTCTTCTCATTTCATTGTTGGGAGACTTAAGAGGTTGGCTTCAACTAACAACTGACATAATCACTTAGGATCCTGTAATTCTCAGTTTCTGTGATCCTGGGTTGGAGTTTGTTACCAGGCTCCAAAATCAGGCCTGGATTTCACTTTTTGCTCTAGAATATACTGGCTTTGTCCCCAACCTTACTTATTTTCCTTATAAATAAAGTGGAACTTTATTTTATTCCTTTATATAAAATGGAATAATAATAATACCTGGTATCTAGGATAATAGTTAGCTTCCAGCTATCTAAATTTCTAAACCCCTTGGTTCAGGAATAAAACCAAAAATAACAGCTGTACATAGAGTGTCAAAATAAGTTGTAACACTTGGCATTTTTATTCAAAATAGTTGTCTGTTTTTTAAACCGAAACATCTTCTCTTTGTTTCACTCCTTTTTTCTTTTATTTAACGTAGTTCCTAATGAATGCTTGGTAAGCACTCAATAACCAAGTTAATAACTTGGTTAAGCATTCAATAACCAAGTTAATAACTCGGTGCTTATAATATAATACTTACTTGGTGCTAGTAATCTAACACTAAAGCCAGTGGTGGAGACAAACAGTATATGTGCTTGGGTTTGAGTGTGGGCAGGTGTAGGCCAGGAGAGAAAAGGTGGAGGGAGAGGATGGCTGTGATATGCAAGGAGTTACAAAGGGACAGGTTTTTATGTATCTTGCATAGTTTTCTTATTTAAAATAGGATTTTTGTTCCTCTGCAGAAGAGTAGTCATTTTAAACATGTAGATCATATACAACAAGAAAAGGAGAGCGGGTGAAGAGAAAGGGGAGATATTTTGATTTTTTAAAAAGACTAAGATTTTTAATGAAAATAGTAGATGTTAACGTATTTTCACCCTTCATACCTAATAGTGCCATTTTGTTTTGTCTTACTTTATCATTGGATTAAAGAGTGGGAGATTTAGGTATTTGGAGGCTGTTTTATTCACATAATTTATCAGGCCCCTAATATAAGCAAATGCGCTTTTTTTTTTTTTTTTTTTTTGGTCAAATGGTAAAAACTGCCGCTTAGGTTTAGTAGTTTTCATAAGCGGCAAAGCTTCAAATCTAGTAGCATCTTCCCATTTTAGAGATAAGAAAATGTAGATAAGTACTAAAAATTTAAGTGAAAACTAATTATACATGTGGAACACAAGGGAATTTATAAAAGTCAATACCCTGTCAATGGGCGAGGACTCGCTTCCCTTCATTACTCGTCCTGTCATTATGTCAGTTCCCATCATCCAGAAGAACCATTTGCCTTTTCTGTTTGCATTGTCACTAGAACAATGAATGATAGGGGAAATGGAAATAAATTAAGCTCTAATTACTCCATTTGGTAATTGTAGAGAGCTCTGAGGAAAAAATTATTCTAGCTCATAGTTAAAGTGAAGTCTAAGAAGTTTTTGTGATATTCATTTACTCCCTTTACTCTTCCCCTCCTACCTAGCATAATCAAAAGCTAGCCAAGGTAATACTTTACTTTAAATGTGGATCTACAAGCTAAGAGTTATTGTTTATTTATCTGATTTTGATGGTAAGAGATTTCTATCCTATAGCATTGTTTCCATTCTCTGAAAGTCTCAGATTTTAGTCACCTTATAAAGCTGTTCCTTAATAAACATCTTGTTGGCTAGATATTTATTGTTGTTGGTGGTTTGTTTTAATTATCTGAGCAAAATAATTCACCAAAATATATTAAAATATGACTAAAAACTTGCAATGTATCTACTTATTTCTAGATATTAACATTATACCCAACTGTCATTATTTGTTCTCTTGAGGCAGTAAGAATACTGCTGTTTCTTATATGATAAAACTATCTTTAACTGGTCATGTAACTTACGGTGACATTGTCCTAAAGATGACCTTTGCATGATAATCTTTTGAAGATGCTGCAAGATAAATATATCAAATGATTTCCCTTTTTGCAGTTGTGGCTTGTTGTACTTTTGGTGGAGAGGCACATGTTTACATTCATGACCTTAAAGTTATCTATAAATTTCAAGGGCTGTCTTTCAGAAAATCAGTCCTGTGTGTGTGCTGGTTTCATGTACAGTCTGACGTTGAAGGACAAATTATAGGGATACTTTTGAGGTAGCATGTGTAGGGGTTTACATGTGTAGGATAAGGTAAAGGCTTGTGTTTTGTAAGATTTTTAAAAGATGTTTTTCTTAATTGTGCTAAGATTTTCACAAAATTGTTTTCTCTGTATCTCAAGGGTCCCATATGTTTTAATCTTCAGTTTTTAAACAATATCTGAATCACAAGAAAACATTTTACACTTTAGGATTAGATGATACCTTGAGGCATTTAGAGAAATATTACTCTAAGATAACCTAGATTTCTAATAAATTATACAAGCCAGTTTATACTTCTTTCACAAGTCTACACTTCCACTATTTTCTTAGTTCTTCAACCTCATTACCTAATTCAGCTATATGAGTACCTAGGATGTTCAAGACACTCTGGGGAATACAAAGAGGAATAAAGCACAGAAAAGCTAGTCAGGATGAGACAGGCATGTGATTAAGAGGTAAGGCATATGAGAAGCATCCAGAAAATGTGTGGGATCCCCAAGAAGAAAAAAAATTCCAAGATGCAGGACTGAAAAAGGAATAAAGAAAGCTTCATGCAAGAGGGTCACTGGCTATAAACATTAAAAGATTGGCAGCTGTTGTTTTTGTAGGTATGACAGAAAGAAATAGCATGGAGGTGGGAGAATATGTATAGTAATAATGTAGTCAGTTTTGGATAGCCTATAGCATAAAAAGAGTAGGCAGGTGAGGTAAGACCATGGCAAGGAAAGTTAAAACCAATTATGAAGTGTCTTGAATTCTACATTAAGTAATCATAATTTGGTAGGCAGGAAAGAATATTTAAAGTTTTCTTTTCTGGCAGAGGAATGCTAGAAACAGAATTGGGAATTTAGAAGATTTAAATTGGTAGCATTTCCAATGCAATTGTGATAGATTTCAGACAGTGAGCTAAGAATGCAGAGGACAAAAAAATGTTTCTTAGTTGAGGATTCAGTGAGGTTTCAGTGTGAACTGCTTCAGTTGATACTATCAGTCTGTGCATTTGAGGAACTATAGTTCTTTTTTACCATTTGCAAACAGGTTTTTCAGATATCTGGAAAATATATAAAGTATTTATTTTTAGCCCCCAAAGTTGTGATTTATTGTACTCACTCAGGTAGTGGCAGCTAAAATGATTTTTGGGTGTAAAGAAATGGTTGCAGGTGAGAACATGAAATTCAGAATGACATAATGTTAAATCTTGTCCTCTAGCCACCGTCAATAAATATGAACAGCCATTTTAGATGAACGGAAACATGATCATCATTTTATAAAGTACCTGCGCATTTAGGTCCTTTGCTATCTCAATCTACTAATTAGGAAAGAACTATACAGTTCTATTCCAAGTTTTGTATTAGGCGTATTGTCAACTCTCAGTACATATTTATGAACAGTTTATAGGAATAACAGCCATTAAGCAAATTATATATATGTGTGTGTGTGTGTATGTGTATATATGTATGTATGTATATATATGTATGTGTATATATATAACATATATATACTCACACATATTTGCTGAGAGTATTTCAGTAATAATGAATTTCTTTCAGCTAAACCTAAGGAAAGTGATTTCACTAGTTAATACTTCCATTAATAAGTGCATCTGAGCCAATCAGCAGTCAATATTAATTTAAGCCTTACTGTGTGTAAAGCACTGTAAGGCATATGCTATAAAATGGTAAAGGAGTAATAGAATTTTTGTCCTGAAAGAGGCCCAGTGTGGCCTAAATTCTCCTTGACAAAACGTAAGTACACAGAACATGAGCAAAATATTATCAGATGCCAAACATCAAATGAATGGTTCAGAAAAGACACTACAGCATTTCAGTGGCCATAGAAATCCTTTAGTTACTATACATCAGTAACAAATGGTATTTCTGAAACAGTTAGAAAAAGTGACATTTGCATTTTAAAGCAGATTAATGGATTGTTTCAAAAAATTAGGAATAAGTCACTTAATTTTCTTAGGTATTGCCCTCCAAGAGTAAGTTACCTCATTAATTGTACTTTGTGGCTTTACTAGTGATAGACATCATTGCCTGTATGACTTGTCTTCATGAAATTTAATAGTAGTACATAAAAATATGCAAACTCTGTTATTAGTATTTTATTCTCATTTACCTAATGTGCAAGATGAAAGCAATTTCAATACCAGTAAATGTTTGAGTGTATTGGTATTTTTTAAAGATACGTTCATAATGTTCTGATTATAAAATCATAGTTGGTTTATTGTTAAATTAGAGCCAATACAGCTGAAACTATTATTCCCATATCTGTCTTTTATTTTATTGTTGCTGAAATTTTATTAAGCATCTATCTATGTTGGATGCTTTGTCCTAAAATAACAAACTATTGCATATAAAATCCACATTACATTTTCCCAAATGAGTTTTATATGTATTTGTAATATGAATTAAGGAAATTTGATTGCAGATATCTTACATTGTGTCTATTCCTGCAGCATGCAAAGAATTCCAATGAAGAATGACTTCCAATGCTCAATATCACAATGAGCGTTTGTGGTTTGATATGTGTGTTTGTCTGTTAAAAGGCCTTTTTTTATGTTAAAGGATTTTATTAAACTTCAAAATGATTAATATCTATTAGGAAATTTCTTCTTTCTGGCACACTTCAGAACACTTTGCCTTGTTCTGTTATTTGGCCACAGTCAAAAGCCCAGATAAAATCATTGTATTTAAAGGTAATATTTTGTCATGGTATGGCTACAGTATATTGAGTCTAATGAAGGGAAACATGAAAAAAGAGAAATTGGTACTAAAGCATAAGACCAGTCTCTAGTGAAACTTTAAAGCTATAAAATTTGATTTTGTAGCTTTGAAATACGAACGTTGATACATTTCAAATATGTTCTTTAAACTTGTTTCTTATTTTAAGTTGATAGGTAAGGGTATGGTCTTTTAAATTTTGTATTCTAAAGCTTCCACATCATTTTAGAAATATGATGGGGGAAAGTAATTGGTAAGTCCTTGACTGAATTATCTAGCACTGCTCAAATTACTTTACATGTATTTAGCCCCACCATCAGTCTACCTATTAAATATGAATTAATAAGAGTTTGCAAAATAACTCCATGATAAAAATCTAATGATTGCTTATAGGTCTTAAAATGTGTTCAATTTTTTCTTGTGAATATGTTTCTGCAAAATTATCCTCTCATAACCGCCCCCCTTTAAGTTGCTGTAATTTCAAATTGTAGGAGAAACGAACAGTTTTTCAGACATTTCCTGTAGTGTAACAGAAATCTAGACATCAGAATCTCCTAATTCAGAGTAATTGAACACTGGCTTTGGATGGTCCCATATGAGCAAGTTAGAAATTGTGGTTTGTGTGTTCACAAACTGAAAATTTTGTTTAAATTTGCCTGCACTTGGAAAGCCAGAACAGGTCTCTAGTTATCATTAGCACAGAAGCTTCAACCATGAAAGAACAAAGGCACTTCTGATTATATTAATGTACTGTTTCATCAGAAAGTTTAAGAATGTTCCGTTCACCATGGAGAAATATAATTTAGAGCACTTTAATTTGGAAGGAATTAAAAAAAGAATAACATCAGTGCTGCTTTTTTCTTTACCCCTTATAGAGAATGCTAACTTTTCAATAAAAACTGATCATAGTTGGTGAATTTTACTGTCTACCTATTTAGCCATTAATATCTGTATCTGGTGTATATAAATTATAGTATTCCCTCTCAGTGTTTAAGAATCATGGTGTAACATTTTTATTTTTTGTGTAAGCTTGAACCCCTTTGGGCAGTGGTGAATCATCAGTGTGGTGCTACTGACTCCTGAATAAATTGTATGACATTTCACTTATTTAAATATACTGAACTTACATATTGTCTTCAGAATGGTAGAGCAGCTATGGCTTTAAGGTCCTTCAGAAGTTAAATTCTTGGAAACTAACAATTTGATTTACTTTCAGGTCTTTTCCAATGGTCACCTTGGAAGTGAAGAATATGATGTTCCTCCCCGGCTTTCTCCTCCTCCTCCAGTTACCACCCTCCTCCCTAGCATAAAGTGAGTTTTGTTGAATTTGGAGATCACTTGTCTATGCATCAAGATATGGTAGAGTGGTTTTGAGAGGTTCTCAGTACAGACACTACATGATGAATAGAAAGTCATTGATAGTAAACAGCCAGCTGTATTTACAAACTAAATTACCATAAATTAAGATCCTTCCCTATACTTTGCTGGTAACCACAACATCTGTGAGACTTACCTAAACTCTTGAGGTTACATAGAGCAACAGGGAGAGAAAGCTACGCATTCCTTGCATCAAAGAGGGTAGAGTAGCACAATGAGGTATCCCTTCAAATTTACCTCTTCTCCTCAGAGGTATCCCATTTTATCTCAGCTTCCCAGTTTGACATCATAAAATAATCTTTGGTTCCACCAGGTTTCTCATTTCTCACATCCATTCAGCTACTAAGTCCTTTTGATTATTCTTTTGGAGTTTTTCATATTCCTCTAATCTTCTCCATTGCTCTAGCTTTGCCTCAGAGCTGGACAACTGAAAGAGCCTTTTATCTGATAATCTCTTATGATCGGAGAGTTAGTATCAATGGGTTTACGGCTAGTAAAATGAGATAACTGGGTATCTCATTTGAAAAATGGGGCCCCAGAGGCACACTAGATATCTCTCATTGATATCTTCCCAAGTTAAACCAGGATAAACTGGATATCCCAATTCTAATTTTCCTGCTCTTTATATGAAGTCAGGATGTCTGCCTTTCCTCCGGTATATTTTGTTCACTGTAACTGAGTTCATTTAATTTAACTTCTGCCTTCCCCAGGTCACCTTCCCACTCAAAAACTAGCATTGTTTCCCTTTTTCCATTAAATTAACTCTATGCACTTCTGCTAACAGTAAGATCCTACAGAATTTTACCCAACTAAAATATTTTTTAGTGATTCCTAATACTTGCCCTGTAATTATATCTGGATTGTTTTTTCTGACTTTGTGAGATTTTTATGCTGTTCCTCCTGTGCTTCACCTTTTCCTAATCTTTATCCTAAAGGTCCATATCTCAGACTCTATTTCTTTGTGAAATGTTCTGTGACTTCTTCAATTGTAGTGATTAAGACTGATTTACATTCCTCTTCCTGCAGTTTATTTCCTACTCATTTAATTATATACTCTGCCATACTGTTTTCTAATTTTAATGTGACTCTCCAATTGAAAAGATTACAAGACTTTGAGGACAAAAACTTTGTGTTCTCTATCTCCCATAACATCTTACTGTATTTGATATATACTAAGTAAATGATTTGCATATAGTAAGTAAGTACACAGAGAATACGTGGATGCTTGGTTTATTGATTTAAATTTTATCTGCTGAGGTCCTTATTTACAATAGAAGGTCTTAGAGCTTCTTCATTCCTTCATCTGCAGTTCACTGAACTCCCACTATACATATCAATGCAAAAGAAAAATAAGGTAGATCCCAGCCCCCCAGAAATTTACAGTCTACTTTAGAAAATAACATTAATGTATATGAAATCATTAGAGAATGGTGTGCACTAACATTTATAATGCTAACTTAGTAGTTTCAAATGAGTTTGGAGGAGAGGCTGTTATAGACTTTGTGAATGAAGGATGTCATGGAGGGATGGGCATTTCATGACTCATGAAGTACAGGCACAATTGGGAAAGGCAGAATGTGAGAAAAAACAAGGGTGTGAAATTTGGCATCATTCAGGGGACGGTGGGAAACTCAGCGAATTAGATCATTCTCCAGTGGGAACTTCTCTTGGAACTGCGAGATATTTAGCAGGCATAGGAGTTGGAAGCAATTATACATACTCTGGGTAGTAGGCTCTAAATCAGTGACAACATATGATTATATTCTAGTGCTAAATGAACTCTGGATATATGTGCATGTAATAAAACATCTAAGCTCAATTACCTTTGATAACTCAGAGAACATTAGAAAATGAAATCTTGCTAATTAGAGATTAAATGTTCACATTCTGTTTATTAAATTCATATTGGCAAGCGAGCTGGAAGTTGCAGTGTGCTTCATTTGTATTTAACATTAAATACCTGCTTCTCCTGTAAATGAAGCAAGAATAACAAATTGATAGTAAAATGTATTTTTTCTAATACTTCAGTTGGTAAGTGCATCTAAAATTAGTCATACTTTCTCCCTATTTACTCTTGATTTTTCCCTCAGAAACAGTGCAATTGTTTCACTTAACTAGAGAAATATTTTAACAGTGCATGCTTGCCAGCAAATTAGTTTTCAATTTTGCATGCTGCAAGTCAGCCATAGTTAGCAGTACAAATGCTAGCTTTTAATGGCACAGTTATCTCTCCAGTTTATTTTTGTTTCTGACTCTGTGGGTAGCAGTTGTTCACTGTAGACAATATGCAAAGTATATAAGAGAAAGAAAAAAGTGAGATACATAAGCACAAGCATATGCATATGCTAAATATCAATGTCCAGAGTTTTAACATTTTGACATTTTTTATTTAAACTTGTTTTTACCTTATTTAGATTATATGGTAGAGATAATTTTATGCCCTCCTTTCTTAACATTATCATAAGCATTTTTCTTAATTGTTTAGTTATGCATTGTGTTTATTACAAAACCAGCATGGAATGCTGATGTGAACAGTAGAATAAAATCAGACTGTGTACCACACCTGACTCCGCCATTAAGTATTTGTCTTTTTTTTTTTTTTTTTTGAGATGGAGTCTCACTCTGTCGCCCAGGCTGGAGTGCAGTGGCGCGATCTCGGCTCACTGCAACCTCTGCCTCCTGGGTTCAAGCGGTTCTCCTGCCTCAGCCTTTCAAGTAGCTGGGACTATAGTCGTCCGCCACTATGCCCGGCTAATTTTTTTATTTTTAGTGGAGACGGGGTTTCACCATATTGGCCAGGCTGGTCTCGAACTCCTGACCTTGTGATCCACCCGCCTCACACTCCCAAAGTGCTGGGATTACAGGCGTGAGCCACCATGCCCAGCCTTTGTCTTATTTTTAACAGGAAAACTTCTCTGGGCCTTTCCCCATCTGGTAGAAGAGAGGATCAGTTTAACTTAAATTATCTCCAAAATCCTTTTGAGATTCAGCTTTTTAGGTTCTATACAGTGTGTTTTTTTAAAGGATACTGATGGCAAACCTGACAATAACAGTGAGTCAAGAGTCTTGGCTGTGGATGGTCTTAGAACAGAGGTCTTAGCAAAATGCCACTCACAGAAATAGGAATGTCAGATGTTCGAGAGTTCATTTCCATCTTAGACTCTTGGTATATGTTTCAAAATCAGGCCAAAGCAAAATTACGCATTCCTACCAAACATACACTTCTGTAGTTCTTACAAATGTTGAAAACTCCAATGTTAAATCCAAGAATGTCAAAGCTAACATTTACCTTACATTTATACTATGTTGTTATAAATATTTACTGAAATAGAATTGTTAAATATTTGATATTGTTTACTCTGATTCCCATTTACATGATGTCAGAGGCTGCTGTCATAGTGTTTCCTGTTAAACTGTATCTTTGCAATTATTTGACTTTTATTGTGTAATTTGTCTTGAGACCTAGAAGAGTATGAAATTTACTTTTAAAAAACATACTGTTGTAAAAGCAATCTGAAATTATTTGTATCTATATACTTAATTTTTCTAAATTAATGTTTTTTTCTAAATGGTTTCTGCTTAACATCTTTGACACTTAGCTATAAATATAAAATTTTAAGTAAATCCTAGAAACATGGGTAATTATTTTTTTGGAGGGAGAACAAAATAATCCTATGTGGATTCTTTTTACTTTATAGTTTAAATTATTTATTTACTAAATTATATTTATTTTGAAATAATTTGATTTTTCAAAATTAAAACTAAATGATACTCTGAATAGTTAAGGAAATATTTATTTTACTTGGCACACAATAGATTGGCAAATGAACAGAGGCATTATTACAAGTAATAATGGAGTAATTACTTCCAGGTAAGATAATGTTCTGAAATGCTGAGGAATATCTTTTTTTTTTTTTAAGAATTTTTTTTGTGTGTGTGCCTTGTCTTTTAGAGATGGACCTTTTGTACTTTTGATATATTAAACTTAGGCTTTCAAATAGCCATGAATCAATATTACTTGGTTTTGCATTTTTGTAAGAAAGGTTTTTTTGTTGTTGGAGGTGGTATTATCTATTTTTATGAATATATATTCTTATAATATATATTTTTCTAAAGAGATAAGTCCTTGTATTTTTGGTTCCATAAACAGAGAATACAAATTTCACCTAACTGTCCTGTTTTCATTCAGTTGCTTTACTTACTAGAGGTTCAGTTTGTACAAGATAAAATCCTTTATCCTCTTTGGAATTTAAGCTCTAGTTAGGGAGAAGAGAAAGTAAACAAATAACTATATTGTATATTGTCAGCTAGTGGTAAGTGCTAGGAGGAAAAATAAGCAGGGAAGAGGATAAATAATGATAGAGAGGTTTATACTTTAGATGAGGTCATTAGGAAAGACCTCTCTGAAAGGCTAATATTTGAACAGAAACTTGAAGGAAGTAAGGGAGCAAACCATGAGGTTATCTGTGTGAAGAGCACAGAGGCTGGATAGAACACAAGTACAAAGCAACTTCAAATCTGTTTCTCCGATTTACAAACAAGTTAGTGAAAATGCTTATAAGTAAAGCTTATCTTAAAGCTTGATAGTATACCACACAGACTTTTTTTTGATGTCATGAAAGACCCTTGAAAATTAGCATGTATATGATAAAATTTAGTGTTTTGAGGAAATGATTTATATGTGGCACATGTGCAAAAATCATTTCAAATATAGCTATATTTTGTTTTGTCTCTTCTCTGGACTATTTATTTGAGTTAGACATTTTTCCCTGTTAGGATTGGGATAATGTAATATAAGAAATATGGTGTAATGTATAGGGCAAGCTCTAAAGATTCTATTTTAACAGAAGATATTTTTTCGTTACTTGCCTTCAGATACTATTAAAGGAAGATAGATTCTTATATGTAGAAAACAAGCTTACTAATTAAGCATAGCATTGGATACTATCTCCTGTGCTGGCGTGAAAATTCACTTGTTTCTTGGTTTGTTTCAAGTGTGCATATGTAGAAGATGAATGTATTTATCACTGAAGGCTCAAATAACTAACACAATGAATTTAATAAAATGTCCAGGTTGTGGGGGGGGTGGTGACTATGCATCTTTGAGAGTGTATGTCCCTATGTATTACCAGTGTATTAACTCAGTAATAACAGCATCAGTGCAGAACACTCCGGGAATGTAAGATGAGAATATAAAGGGATTGCAGTAATAAGTGTAATGGTAGGCTTTAATGTGGAGTCAGCCAAATACAATTTGTTCAGCTTTATTCCTCTGGTATCCTAAAAATTTCCCGTAAGTTTAGTCAATGACTGAAAATTGTCCCATGCCCCATAAGATAGAAATTTTTTCTACTGCCAAATGTCACATACATGGATAGATAATGACTAAATATAAATCTAATTATTTTACCTGTTATTTAGTAGTAAGTAAAATTAAACCTGTTTTTTGAATGAGTTTGTAGAGGAAAATAAAACCCCACATGTAATTCCAGATGGTATAATTAGTTACATGACTCTAGTTTTTTATTTTGCTATTTTATATACAACTTCTTTATCTCATTTGTACCATCCTCTTCTGTTATTTTTTTTGATAGAAACCAGTTTTTTTTTTCAGAACTGGATAAGATTAATTTTTAATAAAAACTATGTAATCTTGAATAAAATACACTGTAATGTTATTCTTTTGGTTTATTTCTAATCCAAATAGACTATTATACTGATATTAAACATTTTCATTAAAAAACATAAGCAGAAAAATAAAATCTGAATCTTTAGAACTTTATTAAAATGGTGATAAATGGAACACCTAAGTATTTTTTTCATATTTAGATACAAACACCACTTGAAAACTATTTTTTCACTTCTAGATATAATTCTCTAAAATCTGTGTAAGTTGACAATTTATACTAGTAAGTTTTAGCAATAAGCCTTATTATTCCATGAAGTATTAGATGAGCTTTGCTTTTCACTTCATTCTGAAATAATCTACTGATTTGTGGCAAAGCAAAAGAGTGGGGGAAATTACTCGAGAAATTCTCTATCAATGAAGGTAAAATATCAAATTAGCCACAACGTATGTGATTTAAAAAATGGTCCATTGTTGACTCATAATGAACTGCTTCTTTGGAAACTTAAATCTTTGGAGGGAACCTGCAACAGGCAGATCTTAGAACATTTCTGATATTGAATAGTTGTTGAATGTTTAGTGAAAAATACTGTTTTCTTTTTACATAGTGTATGCTTGAATTGCATAGAAAGGGATTCATTATAAATGAAAGTATCTTAGGCATAGAGAGGATGTACAGTATATATTTCTCATTTCATTTGGTAATAGAACCCATTCTGGTCCTTGACTTAGCTAAATTGATGGCTGTGTTTACAGGAATTTATGGAAAAGTAATATTATAAGTCTCTCCCAGTTCCAGTGCCATCAGATCACCATTTTGCAGCCCATATACTTAACTTCCTTTAATTGGAAAGTAAATCCTCCAAAGTTAAACCATAATAGGTGTAATAATAGATTATTATTAAGGCCCTTAGCTTGTGCTGTAGGTAGTGACACTGGACCTTTTGTCACTATGCTTTTGTCTCTGTGCTTTTGTCTCCCTGTAACGCTCATGTGAATTCTAAAGTTGCTCAAACAACAAGAATTTAAAGATCAGTATTGAAATTTTTTTCAAAGATAGGTATCAATAAACATACACTTGAAAAATCTTAGTTTTTCTTTGATCTTTGAATGTCCTATCTAATGACTTAGATAATATGGTTGAAACTTAAATCTTTAGATTTTTCAAAATGCCTTCTTGTAATGGTCACAAAGAAAAGCCCCTAAAATTGTTTCTGTTCTAACTAATAAAAAGAAATAAAAATGAATGTTAATTCAGGCATGTTTGTTTAATATACCAAAGGCCTCTTGCTCCCTCTATAGAAGGTGCTGCAAAATTGCAGTCACTTAGTTTTTTTGTTTTTTTTTTTTCCTTCCTTTTTAAATTGAACAGATTTCTCATGAGGTTCATGATGATTAACAAAAAGATTTGGATCCATGTGTGTATTCCCAATGCCTTGCAAACTAGTTGGTCGTCCTAAAGTGAATCAGGATGAGTTTGTGCATTTCTGCCTTGGCATTTTTCATTGGCTTCAGCCAGGGTTAGATTAAACTCTGGTAGCAACAGTTACGAAAAACATTGTTTATGTTTGCCCATTTGTTTGGGTTTGTTTTATTTGGTTTATTTACTCTTATGGATAAGTGAAATGCTTAATGTTTTTGATATTAGGTGATGGTTTTACTCATTTTAATTCTCTTTTATTTAGCCAGGGAATTTAAACCATAAAAATAATGTACTTCAAAGACTTAAAAATAAGTTCTCTCATTATCTACATCTAATCATTCCATTCATTTCTAGCTCTCAGTTGTTGGTAGGAAGAAAAACCTAACAACTTCAACTATAATTTCACAGGATAGTTAAGTTTTACAGAATTAAACTGGATATTTTTCCAACTATAGATAATATTCACAGGAGACAAAAAGTTTGACCATTCTATAAAGACTTCTTTAATATATAAAACAACCATGCTTATTATTGTAGCATCATATTTTACCCATTTAATTTAAATTGGAACAAAATATTAATATTTTAATAGATTTGGTTTGAATAAATTTGTACATTTTGTCTTACAAATCCAACATCTTTTTATTTTATTCGACAGGTTACTAGTTTTTCCTATTGTGCCATTTAAAATTGTGAGGATGAAAATTCTTTTATCCCATCAAGGGTCTTAACAAAAGATTGAAAATTGTTTTCATTTGTATTTGATATAAGAACAGCTTCTCTGATGATACCCTGTAATTGAAAAATGAACATAAGTGATAAAGTAGCTTCTTTGACTTGAATATGTCACATCAGACTTGCCTGTTTTGAATATTATGCTTAAACTAGATTGGATTTTTTTTCCCCTGGTAGGTGTACTGGTCCGTTAGCAAATTCTCTTTCAGAGAAAACAAGAGACCCAGTAGAGGAAGATGATGATGAATACAAGATTCCTTCATCCCACCCTGTTTCCCTGAATTCACAACCATCTCATTGTCATAATGTAAAACCTCCTGTTCGGTAAGAGTATGGGCAGATTTTTGCCACTTACATCTGCATAAGCATTATCATTTGTAATGTTTGTTTTTAAACAATTGATTCACGTCTAATTAAAAATCCTTAATTTCCAGCTCAAATCCTTCTCTTCCTATTATACCATTTCCAGCATTACTTTTAAAGAAAACTAAAAGATGCAGATTTCTCATTAATCAGGAAGTCACTTTATTTTATCAGTTCTAAACACCTATCTCATGAAGAAAAATTAGTGCTCAGAAACTAAGGTATTATTCTGACCTTCCTTAGAATTTTTCTTCATGATGTACATACTAGTATAATTTAAATTCATTTTCCTTCTTGATGTACTTGCTACCTACTTCTATTCAGATTTTGAAGAAGTGGGAAAAAAATACCAAGGTGTTTCTCTTAACTTTTTGTTTTTCTATCAAGTGCTATTTACCTTCCTTTAGATCAAATAAGAATGTGAGGAATAGGCCAGGCGTGGTGGCTCACGCCTGTAATCCTAGCACTTTGGGAGGCTGAGGCGGGCAGATCATGAGGTCAGGAGTTTGAAACCAGCCTGACCAACATGGTGAAACCCTGTCTCTACTAAAAATACAAAAATGAGCCGGGTGTGGTGGTGGGCGCCTGTAATCCCAGCTACTCAGGAGGCTGAGGCAGGAGAATCGCTTGAACCCGGGAGGCGGAGGTTGCAGTGAGCCGAGATTGTGCCACTGCACTCCAGCCTGGGTGACAGAGCGAGACACCATCTCAAAAAAAAAAAAAGAATGTGTGGAATAATGGGGGTTTTTTCCTTACTTTTGTGGCTTATTCTCACTTACATGGGGATAGCCTTGGTCTTTGACTTGGAAGCTCCATCGAGGTAAATAAGAGTTATTAATAATGGGTTGTTTGTATTGAAATATTACTTTATCTTTAAGTAAAGGCATGAGTCTGCATTTATATTATTGAATTTATAAACTGAAATCTATTATTTCTGGGTTTGTTTGTTTTACCTGACTGAAATATATGAGGTACTCAGTACTCCCAGCTACAAAACTTACTTTCTGAGTTCTGGTTTCCTTTGTATAACATTCCTGGGGCCATGCTTGGCACATAGAATAGGGCTCAAGTACTGCTGGTGGCCCTACATTCCAGCATCTCTCCATGACTGACTGAGGGATAGGGGAGATGGCAATTACTTCAGTCATCTGTGCCATCTTTACTTAGTGTGCCATTTCCTTTTGAGGTCAAGTCAATCAACTGAAAACATTTTATAAGTACAGTGTTCCCTTCTTTTCCAATGAAAAACTAAAAAATGTTTTAATGTGTTTCTTCAGGCATCTCACTGAGGTAGGAAATGCAGCACTTGGAAAGAGAAGCACATTTTCATTTTAAGCAGATGTCTGTCTTAATAAGTGACCCTGGTTAGAATTATCAACATTCTGCTGAATTATTACCCAGAATTGTTAATAGTCTACAGCGCAGGACTTTATTTTTTTAAAAGCAAGAACCTAAACACTCCTTGCTATTGCTGGTGTTTAGATAAGACATCTGTTGATAAAATCATATCATTGAGAAGACAAAGAAATAACGAGGAGCTAATTTTATGTATCAGAAGAACCAAGTAGCTAGTGATGTATTTGAGAACAAAAGATATTCCTTCTCATCAAATATAAGTTGTTACAATTTTCGGTTCTTTGGCTCTTACAAATGTGCAGTAATTTTTAAAAACTAAAGTAGGATGAGCTTTTTTTGGTCTCTTTGGGAGTCTTATTTTTTTTCATTGCTGGATAAGTGAGGAGTATAATTTTAATACGTTAAATTTTAATTGTTACATCATATTGGATGTGATTTTTTGTGGCAGAGCTCCCAAATCTTGAAAATAAATTTGAATTATAACCATCATTACCATTTTTCTATTGTTACAGAAAAGTAATAAACGTTGATAATCCCTAAATGTAATTGGAGTGAATTCTTTATCTAATTTGTTCTTGAAAGCTGATGGATGAAGTATCTTCTTTTGTGCTCTCCAAAGAGCTCTTTAAGCTTAACACTTTCTTTCCCTGTGTGTATTTTTCCCCCTTTGGAACATCAGGAGAAGTGAATTGTCAATATGTAGAAAAAGTGACCCAGTAAATGAGTAATTCAATTTAATTTCAGTAAAAATCCATCATTATTATGAAGATTCAATACATGATAACTATTTTTAAATGAACTATATCTGGCCCCTTAAAGAGAAGTGGCCACCAGAGAGAATAGAAATGAATTTCAGATGAAGCATTCTTGCATTATCTATTCAAATATCCGTCTCTTCCATTACATACGCACTTTTACTTTGCTCTAAAAATTCAGAGTAAATCAGAGAAAAGTAAAATGTAAACTCTGATTTCTATAGCTCTTTGTCAGTTGATTGTTATAGAGCTATATGCTGAAGGCAAAATATGCTCCTTATCTTCTCTTCCTGCTGCTATCTTCCCATGGCTCAATTTTAACCATTGTGTTCATAGTATGATTCCGAAGAATTAATACCAATAATTTGGCTGGGTTCGGTGGCTCATGCCTGTTATCCCAGCACTTTGGGAGGGTGAGGTAGGCAGATCACTTGCGGCCAGGAGTTTGAGACCAGCCTGGGCAACATGGCAAAACCCTACTAAAAAATAAAAAAAATTGGCTGGGCGTGGTGGTGCACGCTTGTAATCCCAGCTACTTGGGAGGCTAAGGCATGGGAATTGCTTGAACCTGGTAGGCGGAGGTTGCGGTGAGCCAAGATCATGCCACTGCACTCCAGCCTTTGCAACACACAGATACACACACAACAAAACAAAAAAAGCCCCAACAACTCAAGCATACTTTTCTGGTAAGTAGTACCCTTTACAAACACATTAAAAACTGTACTTGTCGTGTACCCAAGGCCTTTGCTAAAGTCATTTTCTGTAGTGTCAGAGGGCCAGAATTTTGTTCTTGGCAGTGGTGAAATAGTACCACAGGCTCTAGTTCTTTGAATGTTCCTGTCAGAATTGTAATGGAATTATTGAAAGTTCAATAATTTTTCTTCTTTTATGTGCTGTAGCTTATTTTTATTACAAGGAAATTTTAAGTTACAGAAGCAAAAATATGATATTAAATACTATCAACAAATAATAAAGTCATTGAGACTGCTATATGTTTTTGCCTTGGCACATACATCTTTTTTTACTTCAAAAACTTGACCAGGTTCTATTGAATTCTTCCACAGAGATAAGTTAATTTTACATAGTGTTTAGGATATCAACAATTTTTGTGGCCCTTGTAATTCTTGGTTATAGTTTAAAAAAAGAGAGACTGTGTTACTTGAGATATTTACTTCTACATTTTAAAATAAGGGATGAGTATCTTGATGTTATTACTGGTAATTTTGAGAAAAGAAAAATATATGTTCAAACTTTATTAAATAAACAGGAATACTAGTTCCCTCTACCTCTCAAGTTACTTTTAATTGGAAAGTATTCTCCTTATATAATTTTACTCTGAACTGTCCTTTAGGTCTTGTGATAATGGTCACTGTATGCTGAATGGAACACATGGTCCATCTTCAGAGAAGAAATCAAACATCCCTGACTTAAGCATATATTTAAAGGGTACGTATAGAATATAATTTCCTTTGTGATGTACATCTTAATGGTCAGAATTTAAAGGCAAAATTTCATGCCATTGTACTGAAAATACATTAAGGTTTTGTGTTATCCTCTAGGAGATGTTTTTGATTCAGCCTCTGATCCCGTGCCATTACCACCTGCCAGGCCTCCAACTCGGGACAATCCAAAGCATGGTTCTTCACTCAACAGGACGCCCTCTGATTATGATCTTCTCATCCCTCCATTAGGTTGAAACCTTTAAAAAAGTTTTGAACAACCCACCCCTCCTTCTTTTAATTTCAGAATTTTCAGAATTCAGAGTTCAGTATAACACAGACTCACTGGGTTGTGAATTTGCCTGAAATTTGAATGGGTTCTCCAGGTGCCGGTGACTCCCAAGTTCACGAGACCATTACTCCATGTAGATGATTAAGGTAGTAGTGTAGTAGTTGGGCATCAGTCAGGTTTTAAGCAAGTTGTTTTGTCCATACTAAATGTAGTCTAAAAACACATGAGAGCTTTGTGCTCTAGTAGTTTTGAAGTGATGACTTGAAGTGTTGAGATTTTCTTTAAGTATAATAATTCTTAATAAATATGAACTTGCTTTTCTTGCAGCATGAGCACCAGTTCCACTTACGCTAATTAAATTATGCAAAATTAAATAGTTGTATGTAGAGAACTGATAATAAATTCTGTTTTATTCTAATCATTACAACTGTAACACATTCAAAAAAATCTCAATTTCCTTGTTTCAAATTATAATAATGAAGAAACATCCTATGTGTATTTTTGTTTGTATCCACAGGTGAAGGTATATGTAGGTGTGTGTATATGTTGAAGTTGGCTGGTGCCACTGTCACTGTTAATTTCATTAATTCTAATTAGGAAGCATCTCACCCTGTTTTTAGAAGACAGAATGTCTGCACACCTTACATAACGCTTCACAATAACAAGTCACTGTAACATAAAATAATATATGATGAAAGTCAATTTACAAGCTTTTCTGAACTGGCTGTTAGGCCACCAGAAATACGAAATGAACCTTTCCATTTTCTCACAAGTACCACTGACTAGTATTTTGAATGACACAATTGCAGTATCTTTTGCTCCTGTTCTCTCTGTAGTTCAGGACTTTATTCTCACCTACATCAATTACAAAAGGCTCCTAACTCTGTTACCTACAGTCTTTCTCTCCCTTCCACTTCTTCCTGCACACTTGTTTTTGACATATTACCCAGATCTTCATCACCTGGATAAGCATTGTTCAATAAAGCTTTCTGTGGTGATGTAAAGGATCTGTATATTTGCATATGGGTTAAGTGTGATTATGGAACTGACTTTTCATTAAATTTAAATAGCTAAATGTGGATGGGTGACTACTTTATATGACAAAGTAGACAGATTTTCCAACCTGTCTTTTTACCTTGACCTTTTTCTAGGTCTTCTTATGCGTGTCATTTTTTTCTTCATACTGTTTACTCTACTTAGACGATCCTGTCCTTGCATTTGATGAATAAATTTTTGAGCCTTCTGATATCCCAGGACTTCCTGTTCTTCAACACTTCACTGAATACCACTTGTCTACATTTCTCTTTCCTCATCCAATGCATATGTCTCTTTTATGGGACCAATAAAACACTTTCACTTGTAAATCATACCTATTTGTGAGCTTTTTTTTAAGCTCCTTTCATGGAATCTCAGCTCCTTGAGTCAGAGCCTTATAATTTTGATTTTCATATCATGCATGAGCCTGGCCCAGTGTCAGATGTTTAAGGGCTGAAAAAAGATTTGAATAAATATGATAATGTAGGAAATAGCTGAAGGTTAAAATGATAGCAAAACTCTGTCTTGTGCATCTTCAGATGTGTTAATAAGAAAAATATGATTAAAGAAATTAGTGTGCCAATTTTTTCTAAAGCAAGTTCAGTAAATAGTAATATCTTTTTTTTTTTTTGAGACAGTCTTTCTCTGTCACCAGGCTGGAGTGCAATGGCACGATCGTGGCTCACTGCAGCCTCCGCCTCCTGGGTTCAAGCGATTCCCCTGCCTCAGCCTCCCGAGTAGCCAGGATTACAGTCACGTACCACCATGCCCGGCTAATTTTTTGTATTTTAGCAGACATGGGGTTTCACCATGTTGGCCAGGATGGTCTAGATCTCCTGACCTCATGATCCACCCACCTTGGCCTCCCAAAATGCTGGGATTACAGACATGAGCCACCACGTCAAGCCTCATTTTTCTTTAAATATGCCATTATGTTTAAATCATTCAACTTAAAAGTGTGAATTTTTATTATTAGAATATGTGTTTATGTATACCCTGTCTCATTCCTAAAGTATTTTGAGATAGCTTACCAAACATGTGCTTTTTTTTTTTTTTTTTTTTTTTTTAAAGACTCAAGGTAATGAAAACTATGAGTAGAATAGTAAGGTGTGACAGGGGACAAATAAGTAGATATAAAACTATGCTGCAATATTCTAGTTATTAAAGCTGGGAAATATGCAAATGTAAGTAGTGCTTGGAACCAGAGAAGGTTCTATATTTAGCTGTTCTTCTGTAGCTAAATCTGACAAATTGAAAAATATCATATTCTCTGCTCTAGGTACATTTTATGTATATTTTGACAGCATATCAAATATATGAAACATTAGGTTAAATAAATTAAAATCCAGTGGAATAAACTATATGGGATAATCTAAACTATTCTTTGACATTAAATTATATGTATTTGAGGTGATTTTCCAGTTAAAGGCTGTGAACTCTTTTTGCTACACAGAAAATCCTGTTTTCATAGTGTGACTGATAATAATTTTTAGTTCAAACTCTGAGTCCTAATATTATAAAGGTTACAAGTGAACTATGAGCTGTTTCATAAGTTACAATGCTGCTTTTTATAAAAAGGCCTGATAGAAAAAGTTTGCATGGGTGTGTTTGTACGTATGTATGTATGTATATGTGTGCATGTGTGTGTTTCTCTCCAGACTCTCCCACAAAATAATTAGATCCCATTATCAAAGTTGGTGAACTGCTGGATAAACCCTGCGAGTGAAATTCTTTATAAGCAGCAAGAGAAAATCAATTATTACTTTTGTTAGATGCTGTGTATTTTGATTAATGAAGTTCTGCTGCTGATATCGACCTTTCTTTAAATGCAGGTGAAGATGCTTTTGATGCCCTCCCTCCATCTCTCCCACCTCCCCCACCTCCTGCAAGGCATAGTCTCATTGAACATTCAAAACCTCCTGGCTCCAGTAGCCGGCCATCCTCAGGACAGGATCTTTTTCTTCTTCCTTCAGGTAGGAGGGAAAAGCCAAAGAAAACTATTCACTTAAAGCAAAAATATTTCCAAAACCATACTATCAAATAAATGTTAGTGATTCATTAGTCTCTACCTCCCTAGCAGAACAGAAAAATCCCTGGGTGGTAAAAGTAGCAATCGTGGGTACGTTTGTTTGTCAGTTGATTGGTTTAATGCCAACATAATTACAGAGATGGAAAGAGCAATAAGGAACTACAGTAGAAATGATGCTGTAGAGATTGTCCAGTCCAGAAACCTCCTTATGTTACAAATGCAACCCTGAGAACCAGAACTGCTAAGGGGTTAGGCTAATAGTAATGGGAACAATATTTAGACTTTGTCTTCCGATTCCCAATGCAATGTTTTTTAATAGGTTTTTAAAATTTTACTAGATATGCCTTAGTGTCATAATTTTGTTCAAAACATAAGATTTTGGTAAATTATGTTGTTATAACAAGAATAGAGAAGTTTTTCTGAAATAGCTGCATTTTATTGTTTTGTTGTGATATTTTTAATGCCTCAGTGTGTATCTACTCACTAATTATTGGTATTCTAAGGAAAACTAATTTTTTCTTAGTAACTATTTAATATTATTATTTACATATGTATATATTATATAATATTATTTGTTTAATATTAGTAAACTAATTTTTTATATTAGTATATTTTAAAATTTCAAAAGAGGATCTGAAATAAAAATGAAGACTTAATAAACTATCTGTTGCATTAGTTAGAATTATCAGGAAAAAGAAAAAAAAATGTTATATGGAATCTGCTGATACTAATTAACAGTTCCAGTCTGTCTTGTTAGTGATACTGTGCCCTGAAACCTTTGCCTCCTTGGACTTGATTTGGGAAAATACAGGGTAAAGATGTTCTTTTTTTCATAGTTCCTTACATTTCTACATGAGATAAATCATGAAAATCTTTAAAAAGTGCTCAGTTTGTCCTTTAGCTACGTATATGCCTCATGGAAACTTGAGAATCTTTATTCCCAACTGATTCCCTTATCAGCTTCCTCAGTTGATTATTAGTCATGTCTACCATTAGTTTTTCTTAGTTTTTTTTTTTTTTTTTTACTTGGTTTGATAGTTTAGAAAGTTTGAAGAGATTTGATAAGACACACAAGTTATGGACGTACAACTTGGAATACACAGCTTCAATTTCTTAAAGTGGTTTATTTTTCAAGAATAATCTTCTGCTTTTACATCAGTAAATATTGATTGAGCCATTCACTGTTTACCCATTTGTGATAGATGCCTCCTGACCTGTGGAACCTTATGAGTTTACTGGATTCTGCCAATGAAAGCACTAGTGTCATAATCCATTCCGGTCCAAGCAGGAAGTATAGTGTATGAGTCCGTTTTCACACTGCCATAAAAGCACTACCCAAGACTAGGTAATTTGTAAAGAAAAGGGGTTTCATTGCTTCACAGTTCTGCATGCCTGGGGAGGCCTCAGAAAACATACAATCATGGCAGAGGTGAAGGGGAACCAGGGCATGTCTTACATGGCAGCAGGTGCCAGAGAGAGTGAGCAAGCAGGGAAAATGCCAGACATTTATCAAAAACCAGATCTCATGAGCACTCACTATCATGAGAACAGCATGGGGGAACCACCCCCATGATCCAGTCATCTCCCATCAGTTCCCTCCCTAACACGTGGGGATTACAACTCAAAATGAAATTTGAGTGGGGACACAGAGCCAAACCATATCATAACTGCTTGGGCTTTTATTCATATAGTTAGTTACATGTAAACACTGCTGTATTTCGCTATTTTTTTTCACTTATTCAAAACTTTGTCTTATACATAGACTTTAACATGATTTTTAGAACAATGAGTCATTCCAAATCTTAGTTACTTAAATTTCCTGATGCTAAGTTCAAGATAGTTTCTGGCTCTCCTATTACCTTTTATATGCGTAACTTAAGCCCCAATAGATGGAACTTTGATGATGTGGCTTTTCTGACAAATAAAGTCAAGCTTTCCAAGAGCTATAATAAAAGAGAACATTTTACACAAATACACACTTTTACCTGTTTTTGTCAAAAGAATTGTAAAAGGTTTTAGTTATTTATTTTATCTTAATTGTTCATTTCCTTTTATATAAAATCTTCATAAAGAAACCCCTCAAGATTAATTGCTAAAAAAAATTACTAGTTTAAAATGAAAATGTCCCCTCTTATTAGCTAAAATGCAATTTTTATAAACCGTTGTATTTATTTTATAGATTTGCCTGTTTTGTGTTTGCTTGGCTGCCAGGGAGCTCAACAACACTTATCCTTAACTTAGAGTGTCAGGCTAGCATGGGAGTCAGGGCAATGTTTTTCAAGCCTGTTGACTCTCTCTTGACTTTCATTAATAGATGGACATATTCTAATTCTCTTCCCAATAATATCAACATCCCTTATAATAAGTATTTCTTAAAAAAAAAAAAAGGCAACTTTTTTGTTTCCTTTTCCAGTCTTTCATAATCATTTACATGACAGATTTCTAGTCTGGTACCAGATCCTTTATGACTTTTTTTTTTTTTTTTTTTTTGAGACAGGGTCTCACTCTGTTGCCCAGGCTGGAGTACAGTGGTGCGATCTCAGTTCACTGCAACCTCTGCCTCCAAGGTTCAAGTGATTCTCCTGCCTCTACCCCCTAAGTAGCTGGGATTACAGGTGTGCACCACTACACTCGGCTAATTTTTTATATTTTTAGTAGAGATGGGGTTTTGCCATGTTGGCCAGGCTGGTCTCGAACTCCTGGCCTTATGTGATCCCCCTGCTTCAACCTCCCAAAATGCTAGAATTGCAGGCGTGAACCACTGCACCCAGCCCCTTTATGACTTTCATTGTGACAATTATTTTGATTCAAATTTAAAACCGTGTGTATTAGCTTTCCTCCTTTTCAAAAGAAATATTTTAATATTTTAATGCTATTGCATATCATAGAGCATAAAGATTTTTTTGGCTGATAAATGAGCATTTGAGTATTGTTTTGCAAAGTATTTAATACATTATACTGTCTAAAGAAATGTAAAAGATTCATTATAGCAGTTCTCCCTAAGAATTGACTTTATTAAGAATATGCTATAAATGCTAAAGTTTAACTCAGTAGTTTTAGAATTATAAAAGGTAAATAAAAGGGACTGCAAAATTTAAACAAACTCTGTGAGCATTTTACCGTTGTTTTCGTTGTTCAGTCTGTAAAATCTTAGTCTGGTGTAATGATACATCTTTTCTAAACATTATTGAGATTTGGTTTCCTGAGGAAATAATTATTTCTAATTAAAGACAAATGATAGGTGTCTTAGGAAGAGAGGTTGAATTTTCTCATGATATTATACTAAGTACCTAATCAAGCCTACATTTTTATTCCAGCATTCAGTGCCCTGCACAGTTGGGCCAGGTTCAGCTTTTCAGCCTTATAGCTCATTGACTTCTATATAGTAGTGATTGTCAAATTGCAGTGTCCTATGTCTCTGCAAAAGTGCCTCAGTACTGTTGTAGGATCAAGGGGGCAGGGCAAGCAGAGGCAGGGCTCTCATTCTTCTTTTATCTCTTTTCTATTTTAGGCCTTCATGTAAGATTTCTTTTGGCAGAATAGTAATGCCTACAGCTGTACATGAGCCCTCAGTTTTGGACAGGCCAATCATATCTTAACAAAACCTGAAGTCCCCAACAAAAGCTTTACACTCTTTTGTCTCCAATCCCAAGGCTACCACTAGTGTATATGTGCTTTTTTCCATATTACAAAAAAGTACTTCCTTTTTGCTGGTAGATTGAAGTAGACACCCCTACCTCTACTTTGTGCCAGGTCAGGGCTCAAGAAACAAAGCAAAGACTGTATTTAAGTCCTGCTCATAACCATAACTAGGTGTCTTTGTGCAGTGCACAAAATACAGTGTTTTTGTCAGTCTTTATGCTACCTTTATTTTGCTGTTTCTCTAACCTGTAATCTCACTTGAAGATCTTATCTAATCTTAAAGTCACAGTTCAACTCTGAAAGCTAGCCAAATTGACTTTATTAAAGATAAATGGAAGTTTTATTCTTGGATCCAGAAATGCAACTGCATAAGTAAAATATGAAGAAAATCCAGATCATTAGCAACAATTGTTGAAAAGGTTTTAGGGGTTTTGTTGACTACAATCTTTATAAAGCATCATCATGATGAGAAAGCGCATGCCATTTGGGGCTTGAACTCACAGAATTCAAATCTGAGGAGTGAAGTCCTCCACAGTACTCAGCCTTTGTGGAGACCACTGTGTTCAGATGTTGAAGCATTAATGGGCTAGAGCAGCAATTCTCAAATTGTGTTCTCCGGATTCACAACATTAGCATCTCCTGGGGATTTGCTTTAAAATGAAAATTCAAGACTTAATAAATCAGAAACCCTGGGAATGGGACTCAGTGGTCACAAGCCTTCCTGGTGATTCTGATGCATGTTCAAGTTTGAAATATACTGGGCTGGGGTATTCTCAAAAAAGTGCAACCAGGATGATAAAGTAAACTAGAGTGGATTAAAGGAACTGAGAATTGGCTCAGAGAAGAGAAGACCTTGGATGTAGACGAGAGTTGTCTTCAGTTACAGTATTTGGGAAAGAAGGATTATATTTTTTCCATGTCACTTCAGAAGGTAGGAGTAAGATCAATGGGAAATGTTAAGAATGAAAATTGCATTCATCCTACAAAGAAGTTTCCTAAATCATTACGAATTGTTCTACCTTGAGTGTAGTGAGTTATCTGACACTGGAGGATTTAAACCAATGGTAGATCATTACATAGTAGAGATATGAACATGAGCTAAAGCATGAGGGCAGCAAAGAGGGGAGAACTTTGTTTCACCTAAATGGCTCTTCAAACCTTTTTTAGCATTAGTTTCTGCTTTGATATACTCTATTAAAATTTGGGGGATAATTGATAAATCTTCCAGGTGGTTTATGGATGGCCAGGGAGGAAATTTGCCATTGTTTTAATTATTTAATTTTATTTGCCTCTGTTTTTACACTTGGTAAAAATTTGGAAGTGTTTCAGATAGTGAAGAAAAAAAAGAATTAAGAAAAACATTCCAGGCCAGGTACAGGCTCATGCCTGTAATCCCAGCACTTTGGGAGGCTGAGGCAGGCATATTTCTTGAGCTCAGGAATTTGACACCAGCCTGGCCAACATGGTGAAACTCCAGCTCTACAAAAATACAAAAATTAGCCGGGTGTTGGTGGCTCGCGCCTGTAGTCTCAGCTACTTGGGAGGCCAAGGCAAGAGAATGGCTTGTGCCCGGGAGGCAGAGGTTGCAGTGAGTCAAGATTGAACCACTCCACTCCAGCCTGGGTGACAGAACAAGACGCTCTCTCAAAAAAAAAAAAAAAAAAATCCATACTTCCTCCTCCTAATCATTGATAGGTATCCTTCCTTTTTTTTTGTTGTTTTTTTGTTTAGTTTTGTTTTGTTTTTTGCCTACGAGTATGTAAGTTCACATTTATGTAAAATTTATTTCTCATAGTATATGCTATTTATAACCATTTTCCAGTTAATATGTCATGAGCAATGTATATAGTTGTTAAATATTTGTACACAATATAATTTTTATTGATGTATATTTCCTCATTTCTTTTTTAAGTAGCAAACCATTTCCTCCCAGTCTTCCCTTAGTTTTTTATAATCTCTCAAATAAGTACTAAATTTTCAGTTTTGCAGTGCTGTACTATAAATCACAGGCAGTAGTACTTTGCTTTTTACAACAGATTAGTCTCTGTATGTGTATCCATTTATTTCTCAAACACTTATATAAGTGATAAATTGGCTGTGATCATTTCAGTTTGTTTTAATCCTGTGGATATAATATTTTTCTTTAGTTTTTGAAGAATTTATTTTAGAAAAGCTTTATTACTTTACAAAGTTTTCTTATCAGGGGACAATTGGTAATTATTATACTCTGTGTAGCAATTGTGTTATATCTAATCTCTTTCCCTTTAAAGCCTGAATGCTTCCAACTTTATAATTTGCTTTAGAGAGCCCAGTTTACCCTATGGCTGACAAATAGCAAACTTAGGATATGATGCAAGATAGAACATGATAATGATTCAAAACAGAACCATAAGCAGGTATTTTTGCTATTTATAATAATATTTTGAGTGTATCTAGTACCTTTTAAATAATATAGTTTAATGGAAGAATATAGTACAGTGGTATATTTTATAGTCTATGTATGGCTCTGAAGTGTATCCAGAGTTTACTTTTTAACCTTAAATAAATAGATGATTAGAAATAGCATTAAGTGTATTTGACAAACCTATAAATTTCCCGTAAAGAAATAAGCAAGTGTATGTATTGTAAAAGACAGTCTTTCCTCTGACTTAATGTTGTATCAGGGGCATTTAGAGTCTACAAGAACCTAAAGTAAATTTTATGAAATATCTAGTGCAAAATCTTTGGGAAATTTCAAAATTTATGCTGAAATCACCATATTTGTTTCCTTTGGTTTCTCTAACAAACCAAAAGATCAACATTGTCTCATGCGATTTATCTTCTCATTCCTTCCTAAAAATATTTCTGGAAAATTAATGGAGCTGGACCACCAATTCTTCAAATATTGAAAACTCAAAATCTAAGAGTTATTTTAATCTTGAAATTAATGAAAACAAGTTAAAGAGCCTTGTCTAAGTCAAAAAGTCCTCAGCAAAGCTGGTGATAATTATTATACTCCAAAAAAGGTGAAAAGATAATGGCTTCAAATCCTGCCTTACATTATCCAGTCAAAAACTAATATAAAAATAGTCAATATTTAAGCCTATGTTTTCATCGTAAGTAATCAAATACTTACATATTATTAATGTCTAAGGGAGTGGAAGTTAAAACAATGAAATTCAATCGGGTCTTCTTTAATATTTACAATTTTTGCTTTACATTAGCAATTCAGGTTTCACTGATTTTAAAATTGTGAACAATCTGAATTTGTGTGGATTTATTTGTGGTAGTTAAAAGTAAATATTAAGTGCAAGCTATTTGCCAAGAGTGTTCTAGGTGCTATGTTTGATTTAGGAGGTATAATTCAAACATGAGAAGTAGGAAAAGATCCCTCAGATCCCTGTCCTCAGAAGAATTGACGGTACTTTCAGAGATATCGACAACATAAAAGTACTATGAGAGGAAAGCAGCGGTGCCTGAGGTGGGAGTGATAGCTAGATAAATTATTAGTGAACCAAGGTTTTCAGATGTAATGTTTGTCTACTCAAAAAGGGAATCAATTCTCTAAGAATTTAAACCCATATAATACTATGAATGTTAAACCAGTTGGGTTTATGGTATTAATGATTTAATACAGCAACACTGACAAAATCTCTTTTTCTCCCTTTAGTTCCAGTTAGTAAATATCATATTTTTTACTATTTCAGATGCCCCGTCTCTGACTGCCAAGGTGGTAAATTATCACATTTTACTGTATATTCAAATGTTAATTACTAAATGGCATAATTTTAACAATTAAATTTACTATTTTGTGAGCCAACTAACAACAATGATGTTAAGCATAGGATGCCCAATATAATAATAAGCACCTTGTATGTACAGAAGATTTTACATGCACAAATTCATTTAATCCACACAAATCCGAAGTTTCAGGTCTGTTTTACAAATTTTGTATGCCCAATGCTTAGAGAGATCAAGTAATTTGATAATACTCTTATAGGGAGGATCCAAACCCATGGTTTTATGTATATTTGTTTGTTTGTTTTTTGCTTTTACTTTAGAACAGTTTCTATACATTGTACAGGTTGGATTGGGACAGAAAATAAAATTTAGAAGCTGTTTTTATTGTCAACAATCTTATAATTAAATATATCTGCAAAATATAAATATAAAACAAGTAGTCTTTATTATCTGGAAATAAATGTGAAGAGCATATTTAAGCAAGTGATGAATAAATTAGAAAATATGCAGGCAGTAAAAAATGGTTAATATCAGTCATGAATTTAATTTTCTAATTTATTTTTGAAAGCCATAATCTTCATAAAATAATTCTAGAATTTTTTTCTTCAGCCAATCAACAGAGATCATCCTTTTAATTTGAAACTTGTTTTTATTTTTAAGATCCCTTTGTTGATCTAGCAAGTGGCCAAGTTCCTTTGCCTCCTGCTAGAAGGTTACCAGGTGAAAATGTCAAAACTAACAGAACATCACAGGACTATGATCAGCTTCCTTCATGTTCAGGTGAGTTGGCTAGTAACAGTAACAATAATACCTTATTGTTATATAGTGCTTTTTGCTTTTCAGAACACCTTCTTATTCATTATATAATTTAATGAATGTTGTCCACCCAAGAAAGTATTTTGATCATCATTGCATTTTGCTTATAAAGCTGGCATTGTGAGAGGAATGGCTACAGAACTGCCTCATTGAAAAGAAAAATATTAAGCTTAATATTATCTTTGATCACTCAGTGGAGCCACTTCTTTGATTCAAAATGTATTCATTATCTAACTTTCATTTTGTCTCAGATTTAGGAAATGAGGAAAATCTCTTTGTACATTGCAATGCTGTTTTATAGCAATCTCTATGGAATTAATACTGGCACCAAACTATTCATTTTCTTAGCTTATTTAGGGCTCCAACCAGTGCTGCACTGACAGCCATCAAATAGAAGGATGTACCATTTTTGTAAATACAAGTCATACTCACAACCGTTAATAATGGAATGCTGCTTCTTTGCTTCTTGAGGAGGCTTTCCCTGAACATATCTAAATAGCTCCTATCTTCTGCAGTTATTTTCTTTCCTTTTTTGCTTTATTTTTCTTCATAGCACCCGTCACTACTTAAAATTTTGTTATTCAGAATTCATTTGGTTGATTGTTGGTTATCTGTCTCGTCTGCTAAAGTATTAACACTTTGGAGATAAGAATGTTGTCTGGTTCACTGCTTGTCCTAGTCAGTTCAGGCTACTATAACACAATACCATAGACTGGATTGCCTAAACAGCAAACATTTATATCTCACAGTTCTGGAAGCTGGGAAGTCCAAGATCAAGCTACCAACATTCAGTGTCTAGTGAGGGCCCTCTTCCAGGTTCATAGATAACTGCCTTCATACTGTGTCCTCACAAGGGCAAGGGAGTGCTCTGGGATCTGTTTCATAAGGAAACTAATCCCTTTCATGAGGGCTTCCCCTGCATAATCTAATCATCTCCCAAAAGCCTCCCCTCCAAATATCATTACAAAAGGGATTAGGTTTTAACATATGGATTTGCAGGGAAAAGGGGACAGACATTCAGTCCATAGCATTGCTTTATCCTCAAGTGTCCAACATAGTGCCCAGCATATGTCTCTTTGATGGATAGTTGGGGATGGATGGATGGATGGATGGATGGATGGATGGATGGATTTGAGTGGACAAATAGGCAAAAGGAGGGAAGAATAGCTGATGTCTGTATTAAACTAAATGCAAATATCTGATAAGCAATATTTTTGTCACATATTTGTGAATATCAGAAGTTTTCCTATATGAACTTTTGTCTTATTTCAAAATTTTTTTAAGCTAAAACCTCAGTTCATAGAAGACTTGCTAATACTATTAGCAATACATTCTGAAACTTCTGAATCAAGATAATTAATGAGCTGTTTTAAGAATTGTCAGTACGGTAGTTCTTACGTGCTCGATGCCATGCATGGGAGATGCAGAAATCCCTGTGTATTTATATGTTTAACTGCTTGCATGTAACTCAGGAAAGCATAGAAAATCTTTTTAATCTTTTCAAATTTTGGCCAGTGTTCTCTTATCAGTTTATTTCTAGTCATTCTAAGGTTTCATATGTATCCATGAGTAGCCTGTAATTCCAGTCAAAATAATTTGATGACAAAACATGAAAGTCAAGAAAGAAAGACAATATCTGACAGCTTCTATATAATATAAGGAAGCAATTTTTTTTAAAGAAAATAGTATTAAAATATAACTTTGAGCAAAGTGCTATGACTGATTTAAAATAACATATTCAGTACCACCAGCTCTGGATTAAAAGAAACCTATACTTTAGTTAGGGGAAAACTTGTAGCCAAAACACAGTGTTTTCACAGCTTCTTTACAGTTTTCTCCATAATAAGTGGGTGTTGTAGAGCCCAGAGGAACATCATTCACATATATGATTTCAAGCAGTATGAATCCCTATTAGCATTACACTAGAAATGTCTGGAAGAACTTCAAATCACAAACCTTGTTGAAATATCCCCGAATAGCCATTTGCCAGAAGCCTGAACTGGCTTTTACCTAAGTAATAAAAGACTCCTGACTATTACTCTGAGGGCCCAGCTAGCTGTAACATCAAATATTTCAATCTACTCCCTAAATTCTCTTTACAAACACAGTCAACCACAGAAAATAAGATACTTTTTTCCAACATATGTTTGTTCACATGAAGTTCACAGGCCTACCAGGCTGTTCACTAGTTTATTTTACATCAGCAGAGAGACTGAGCTTGCCTTCTAGATGAGGTCTTTCCATTCAACCCTTGAGACTGAATGCATATGCGCCTTTAGGATTCTAATAGCTCTTATTTTGCAGTAATTAATCTGTTTTTATTAAGGCCTTTTTAAGATGACCAAATGGGGTTCTGGTATGATTGCTCTGCCTTATGAATTCAAGTTCTGTTATCACTTATGGCTGTCTAAATAATTGATAGTCATTTATGAATAGGCTTCTATGGAAAGTATATTTCTAAAGAAGTTTAAAATGTAGTTTCATTGATTTTAAAATATCTCCCTTGTTTTCTTATCTAAAAAGTATGTCTGCATGTATATGTATGTCTACATATATAAAGAGCCTTCTAAATGTTTATTCCTCCCAAAGAAAATATTTTATGCTTTTCTTAAAGTTTTTCTAAATGTATAATTGAAATTTAAATATATGAACGTATCATAGGTAGTCCAGATATAAGAAGAGCTTACCAGCCCATGTTAAATTCACATATATCGGTATATAGGACAAACATTTTTGCTAGTAATCTGCTTGTTTCTTTACATGGATGTATTATTCACATGGGGCACATGTCTCTTCTATCTATGTGTGAGGTTTTACAAATTTCTCAGTTTGCTTTTCTCTTGTTGTAAGACATATTGTACTACAGTTTGAATACCATTCTTTGAAAACTAAAAGGCTGTATTAATGAAGTGCACCATTCACTCTTGAGGTGATTTTTCATATTGTTAGTATTTAGAAGGAAGTTCAAGGTAACACTTGAAAACAATGCTTGATTTTAGCACAACTCAAATGTGTTTGAAACCATTAAAAGACCTTATTGCCAAATAAGCCAATCTCATTATAAAATAAAGGAGATCTCATTACAAAATGAATTAATTTCAATACTACCATTAGTTTACTAGCTTAAAGGAGAATTGTTGGAATGTTGAATACATTTTATATTAGGACCAAGTATTCAATAGTTTATCTCTGTTAAGATCTCAATTGGAAATCGTGGCTTCACTTCACGCAAGGGTTGGAATTTTAAGGTAGATTATGTGTCTTTAAGATTTTGTGTTTCAACAAAGGAAATGGCAATGTTGAGTTTTCCCACAGTTTAGCTATGTGAAATACTGGGGCTTACAGACAGCTTCAGTTTGAAAGCCAGAGAACCTAGAGTTGTTTTCCTTACAAATCTAAGATTAAATAACCATTTTCTGGATATATTTAAAACAGTGTATGTGAAGATTTTTTTATTTGTAATTTAGTTTATTAAATCATGTCCTTCTATAGGCAGTATTTCTTTTTTTTTGAGATGGAGTCTCGCTCTGTCGCCCAGGCTGGAGTGCAGTGGCGTGATCTCAGCTCCCAGCAATTTCCACCTCCCAGGTTCAAGTAGTTCTCATGCCTCAGCTTCCCGAGTAGCTGGGATTACAGGCATCCACCATCATGCCCGGCTAATTTTTGTATTTTTAGTAGAGATGGGGTTTCACCATGTTGGCCAGGCTGGTCTCGAACTCCTGACCTTGTGATCTGCCCACCTCAGCCTCCTAAAGTGCTGGGATTACAGGCTTGAGCCACTGCGCGTGGCCAGCAGTATTTCTATAGAGGCAGTAATTCAACCTTATGGCATAAAAATGAATCCCAGAATTAATTGATCCAACTTCTAGTAGAATAACAAAGTTAATCATAATGTGTTTGAGATTTCTTTTATTCCTTGATCAATTAAGTGTATTTATATTTTTTTCTAATTCTGTTATTGTTATAGTTGAGAAGGTCAGTAGTCTAAGAGTTTTGATATCTGTCCCAAGAATTGTCACTGGTTTACTAAGTAAATTTAGACAGTATGTTTCAGATAATATATACAATATTATTTTGTCTAATTAAAATTCGTTAAGTTTGTTAAGCATTTACTATAGTCCTGATGCTTTGCTAAGTATTTTAGAGACAGATATATAATTTTTTTTTTTTTTGAGACGAGTCTCACTCTGTTGCCCAGGCTAGAGTGCAGTGGCACGATCTTGGCTCACTGCAACCTCCACCTCCTGGGTTTAAGCAGTTCTGCCTCAGCCTCCTGAGTAGCTGGGACTACAGGCGCCCACCACCATGCCCAGCTAATTTTTACATTTTTAGTAGAGACGGGGTTTCACCATATTGGCCAGGCTGATCTCAAACTCTTGACCTTGTGATCCGCCCACCTCGGCCTCCCAAAGTGCTGGGATTACAGGCATGAGTCACCACGCCCAGCCAGATACAGATATATAAATTTTATATAAGTTAATATTATATATAATTGTATTTATATAGTTATGCAGTAAAATATAAATATTCATGTTATTTTATTTAATAATGTATATTTTATATTATCTGTTTATAATTATACATTTATATATTTGATATTGTTATACAAATATATGGTTATATAATATGGTATAGATATAAATATAAATTTATTTTTACTGTGTAATATAGAAATAGATATAATTTTATTTCTCCTAACCACTCTGAAATATATATATGTGTGTGTGTGTGTATATATATGTGTGTGTGTGTGTATATATATATATATATATATATATATTTATTTATTTATTTATTTATTTATTTTTTTGGAGACAGAGTCTCGCTCTGTCACCCAGCAGGCTGGAGTGCAGTGGTGCAATCTTGTCTCACTGCAACCTCCACGTTCCGGGTTCAAGCAATTCTCCTGTTTCAGCCTCCCAAGTAGCTGGGACTATAGGCAGTTTTTATATTTTTAGTATAGACAGGGTTTCACCATATTGGTCAGGCTGGTCTTGAATTCCTGACCTCAGGTGATCCACCTGCCTCAGCCTCTCAAACTGCTAGGATTATAGGCGTGAGCCACTGCGCCTGGCCTGAAATAGATACTATTAATGTCAATTTATAGAAGAAAGAAAGACATAACAAAGTTTAGTAACTAACTCAAGCTGCTGCAGAAAGTGTAAGCCTGATAGAATTTACATCAGTTTCAGTTTTTTAAAAATTTGTTAATAAAGTTTATGTTGTTATCCCATCATCATGCCAGAATTAAGTTAGAAAAAAATGTACACATGCATCTCACGTCTCCAGACTGAGTTTGGAGATGTTCAGTGGTAAAATCATGATAATAGTGATGGAATAGTAGTGATGACAAAATAATGAAGGGTTTTAGAAATAGTAAAACTGTACTAGAAATTTCAAAATCTAGATTCTGATTATTTTTCACATGACCTTAGGAAAGCCACTCACTATGTACTTCCTATATTTTTCACATGAGCGAAATCGATCTCTGGTTCTCAGTCTTAGATACTTGTGCAGCTGAGGCCTTTAAGAGTATCAGAGGAGATCTGAGACTATTTTGTTGTTGGTGGTGGTTTTTCTAATTATGCGCATATTATACACGCATTGGAAAATAAAAGGAAATTACAGAGAAAACAATTAATAAGAAAAAGCAATCACTTAAAACCCTATCTTCAATAAGGAACATTATTGCCATTTTCAAGTGCAGCCTTCTAAATGTTTTGTCTATGCACATTTTCACTTACGATCTTAAGATCATACTCAATATGTCAATTCTATCTCAGTTCCATTTAGGAGTATTATAAGTATTTTACCACATTATTTTAAAAAATAAATGTCATTTTAAATTATTGTATGACAATCCATTATTTTTATGTACTATCAAATACTATTTTTAACATTTTGAAAGTCTAACAGAAACCCTAACTTTATATACTAGAAAACTTTCACATTAAATCCCTTTGCTGTGACCTAGATATACAGAAGCTCAGTGTTATATTTATTGTTGAACATGATCCAGTATAATAGAAAATGGGAAAATGTATTCATCAATACAATAGCATTTGCTTATTAGACACATCTTTCAGAATATAGAAAAAGAAAACCCAACCCAATCTTTAGATGATGAGGGGAGTAATAAAGACTTTTTGTGGCAAAATAATTGACAGCCACTGAAATGAAATATCCTCAGTTCTTTAAATGGAGGTTATGTAGATATACAGCAGTGCGTCTCACTTAAAAAAAAAAAATATGGTCTGCCTACGGGCCTTTTGGACACTTTTTTTTTTTTTCCTAATAAGCTTTCTGTCCCCAGCAATAATGAAAGTTTAAACTACAGATGTGCTTAGTAGACATAGAGATAGAGGTATATCTCTATGTACCATGGCTCTTTGGAAGGCCACAAACCATTTTACCATCTAAAATTGTTTTCTTTCATCCCACAAGAACCAATGATTGCCCCCGTCTAGAATGTATGACCTAGAGTAATCATTCTGGGTATTATTCCAACCATGTTAGGCTAATTCCCATGCAATCCAGGAATGTTCTGTTTGTCACTCTGTTGGAGGCTGAAAGAATGAGGGTCGTGATCAACTCACTATACCACTGGAGGCTATATGAGTGAACAGCAAACTGTTCTCATAAAAGCAGAATGTTGACAAACTGACAAACTGCATCTGCTGCCCAGGAGGAATGCTGAGGGCAGTCACGACCCAGGCACAAGTGTTGC
Source organism: Homo sapiens (assembly GCF_000001405.40). Taxonomy (NCBI): domain Eukaryota; kingdom Metazoa; phylum Chordata; class Mammalia; order Primates; family Hominidae; genus Homo; species Homo sapiens. The sequence continues at coordinate 105,663,469 of NC_000003.12, read as the reverse complement.
TTTTGATTAGGCACATCTGAAGCCTGTTAACAATAATGTGAACCTGTGATCAGTCAAGCAGCTGACCAATCGTTACCTCCTCATCCCTGCTCTTTCTACCCAATAAATACAAAGGGCTATGGAAGCTCAGGGCTGCTGCCTTTGCTCACTTCTTCTTCCTCAGACCCTTTCCTTAAAACAGTTTCTTTTGTTTTTTGTTATCATTTCTAGGTTCTTCCCTTAGTTCAGTCTTGTAATGATGGTCTCAGGTAGTAACAGAAGTAACTGTTGTAATGACTGTCTCAAATAGTAACAGCAGTAACTGTGATAGTGAAGGTCTCAAGTAGTAACAGCAGTAACTGTGATAGTGAAGGTCTCAAGTAGTAACAGCAGTAACTGTCATGGTGAAGGTCTCAGGTAGTAACAGCAGTAACTGTGATAGTGAAGGTCTCAGGTAGTAACAGTAGTAACTCTCGTAGTGACGGTCTCAAGTAGTAACAGCAGTAACTGTTGTAGTGAAGGTCTCAAGTAGTAACAGTAGTAACTCTCCTAATGACAGTCTCAAGTGGTAACAGTATTATAGTAACTGTAGTATTGATGGTCTCAAGTAGTAGCAGTGGCGGTCGGCCACATCACTCTCTTCTTTTATATGCTCAGAAAAGGAAAGCTGAATCAAAATTTACTCCTAAACCAGGGCTTCTCAAATCTTTCTTTCTCAAAGAAGAGTTGACAGTGAACAACACAAGGGCTGGGACATTAGGTAAAAGAGGACAATATTTAGTTTTTTAGTGCAAGACATTGTTTCTATTTTGTCTCAAAAATTTGTGCAAACTTTATATTTTACTCCTTAGTGTATCTGTATTCATTTCAGTGCTTTAAAATATTAATGACCTTATATCTTTTAAGAAAATTGGTAACCCAGAAGATGTACTATTTATATTCTGTGGCTCACATTCTTGTACTTATTTTGATACCACTGCAATTACTCATAAGAGTTCAAAAATACCATGAACATGGATGGTAGCACTAGAGCAAACACATGCTTTTCCAAAATAACTATTTTTAAGGATGATGTATATTCAGGTACAGAAATTCCACAGGGTTGATAAAATTTATAGTTATTTCAGTGTGCTCCCAAACTGCAATATAATAATCTTAGGGGACCAGAAGATAGTTTCATCTTCATTTCATTGCTTCCTTCCACTACCCTACACATTCGAAAGTGCTAAAGTAAATGAGGACCTGGTGTAATCCACTTTTAGGTACTGTGAAAAAGAAAAGTGGAGAAAGTGAAGGCTGCGTCTGGGCTTTGGGAAGAGACAGAAAGAGTAATCGGTTCTAAGCAATTTGCTCTAATGGTCAGTGTGGAAATGATCTCCTCCTCCCCACTTTTTAACAGCTTCCACTAGTAGTTCAGGTTGCACCAGATCTTGCTTTTTAATATTCTGCTAGAAGGCTTTCTGTAGAATCAGATACTCACAACAAATTTTGTGTTCTTTGTTCTTTCACACTTCTCTGGCATTCCTGTTATAGTAATTGCTGGTTTATAGCATTTGAGTATAGCACTTATCATTATAAATATTAATTCATTGTTCTTTCTTTTTAATGGTCTCCTCAGTCCATATACTGTATATTACATTAATTGTTATACTACCTGGTTGAAAGGGATAAATAATACCTCTAAACACAGATATATAAAGTAGATTTGGAGAATGAGAATTGTGAAAGTAAATTGCTTAGCCCAAGATCTTAGCGGCCAAACTGAGATTTAAGATTCAATTGCCAGTTATACCATTTATTAGAGGCATTCGTCATAGTATTCATCCCACTTGTATACACAGCTGTTCTTTTCAAACATGCCTGGCATTCATGTGCACATCTCAGTATCCTGGACAGACAAAATAACAATATTAAAAATCTCTTAGAAAATTACCCGTAGAAAACAAGTTAATTGTTTTCTAAGTCTAGGTACTTTTGTATCAAAGTCTAGGTACTTTTCTCATCTAAAAGTGTCTCAGAACAGACATGATTTAAATGTATGAATTTTTTGGTAATTGATTAAAGGAAAGCTTTCAATAATTTCTAATAGTTTTGAAAATGATTAAAAGCAAAACATAATTTATTGTCCATTCCTGTATGACATAATGAAAATAATAGGAAAATAAATGGAACTACAAAACATACTAAGAAACGCAGTTTATCAGACGATAATAGTTTGAGATGTTTAATTACAGATGCAAGAAACAGTACAGATATTAGCAAGAACCAGAAATTATATGTTCTTATATATGGGCATACTTTAATATACATTGTCTACAGCTATAATATTTTCTAAAACTGGACATTTTGTTACAAAAAAGGAATAATTTAAAATAAGACTGTCATCATGGCCGGACGTGGTGGCTCACGCCTGTAATTTTAGCATTTTGGGAGGCCAAGATGGAAGGATTGCCTGAGGACAGGAGTTCGAGACCAGCCTGGTCAACATAATGAGACTTCATCTCATTTAAAAAAAAAAAAAAAAGAAGAAGACATCCTATTTGATGTGGAAACAAATGCTTTTATCCTAGAGGCTTTGTTTTATGTATGTTATATTGATATTGCTATAATTGTATATAGGATGATGTTTTTACAAGTTACCTTCTCCTGGAAAAATATCATACATCTTTTGATTTAGAAAGGAAAAATATTGAATAATACATCAGATTAGCTTTTATTATTTACGTTTATTATTATTGAAAATATCAGCTTACAGTATCTCCTGAAGCCATTGGGAAAGTTGCTGAGGCAGCAGGAGTGGGGAGACAAGATGGGAACATTAAGCATGAGACGTTTGGCTTTTAACCTCACATCACCATTCACTTAACTCTGTCCTTGAATTTATTGTTTGGCATTTGTCAGTGGTCTGAGAGAAAGGTATTAAATATTGTTGTCTAGATAGTCTTAAATCCATAAGTGTATTTCATGACATAAAGATGACATTTTAAAATGTATATATGGGCCAGGTGCGGTGGCTCACTCCTGTAATCCCAGCACTTTGGGAGGCCAAGGTGGGTGGATCACTTGAGGTCAGGAGTTCAAGACCAGCCTGATCAACATGGTGAAACCCTGTCTCCACTGGGAAAAAAAAAAAAAATTAGCCAGGCATGGTGGTGCACGCCTGTAATCCCAGCTACTTGGGAAGCTGAGGCGGTAGTAGAATTGCTTGAACTCGGGAGGTGGAGGTTGCAGTGAGCTGAGACTACGCCATTGCACTCCAGCCTGGGCAACAAGAGTAAAACTCCATCTCATGTATACGTATAGTGTGTGTATGTGTGTATTTTTTGTCTAGGCTTTTGAGATAAAGTGCTATACATAACCAGGAAATACATGATGAAAGTGCCCTGTCAAGTTAGCTAGCCCATGACCTGGGACCTTTTCTTTTTTCTTAAGGTTACTCTCCATTCATGGGTGCCAATGTCATTGGTTTAAATTGGAGGCTGTATTATCACCAAGGGACTAATCTAGAACCCAATTCTCTACTCCTAATATTTCTTCTAGGTTTGCTTTTTCTTGAGCAAAACTTCCTACATTGCAATCTGTATAAAGTATTTGAGCAAAGCACTGAGTTTCCTTCCGTTCAGCCTGTTGACTAACAGTAGAGTCAAAGCATCTACTATTTTGTTTTTTTTTTCTCCTAGCATCAGTAAGGCACAGATTATTAACTTGAAAAATCAGCTAGGAAAATGCTACAGAGCATCTGTTTTAGAGCAGTTCTGCTGTGACATGGATGGGACTCAGGACCTGTGGGGACGTTCTGCCATGGCTGTTTGTGAGCTTGTGAACAAAGTTTCCTCTCATAGAAACCTCCCAAGATTGTTCCTCTGGAGAACCATCAACCAGAGCCTGTGCTGTAGTAGAGTGTGAACTGTATTGCTAAACAAAGTGAAAGGCTTCCCTTTTTAGATAGTTATTTTAATTATTTTTTCCTTTCTCTATCTCTCTGACCACATATGGCTTGAAGAATAAAATGTGGAATAGAGAAGGAGATGTGTAAATTTCTCAGTGGAACTACCAACACACTGTACCTTAATTTTCTGTTGTTCAAAATGAGGATAATACTACCTATCTCACAATAGTATGGAAAAATTGAAAAAAAGTTTATTTGTAAAGAAAACAAGAAATAATATTTCCATAGGAAATGAGATAATGCTGTTATGTTATCTTGCCTTCATTTTTATTTCACTGTTTAAATAGTATCTCTCTTTAAAAATCTACACAGATGGTTCACAGGCACCAGCCAGACCCCCTAAACCACGACCGCGCAGGACTGCACCAGAAATTCACCACAGAAAACCCCATGGGCCTGAGGCGGCATTGGAAAATGTCGATGCAAAAATTGCAAAACTCATGGGAGAGGGTTATGCCTTTGAAGAGGTGAAGAGAGCCTTAGAGATAGCCCAGAATAATGTCGAAGTTGCCCGGAGCATCCTCCGAGAATTTGCCTTCCCTCCTCCAGTATCCCCACGTCTAAATCTATAGCAGCCAGAACTGTAGACACCAAAATGGAAAGCAATCGATGTATTCCAAGAGTGTGGAAATAAAGAGAACTGAGATGGAATTCAAGAGAGAAGTGTCTCCTCCTCGTGTAGCAGCTTGAGAAGAGGCTTGGGAGTGCAGCTTCTCAAAGGAGACCGATGCTTGCTCAGGATGTCGACAGCTGTGGCTTCCTTGTTTTTGCTAGCCATATTTTTAAATCAGGGTTGAACTGACAAAAATAATTTAAAGACGTTTACTTCCCTTGAACTTTGAACCTGTGAAATGCTTTACCTTGTTTACAGTTTGGCAAAGTTGCAGTTTGTTCTTGTTTTTAGTTTAGTTTTGTTTTGGTGTTTTGATACCTGTACTGTGTTCTTCACAGACCCTTTGTAGCGTGGTCAGGTCTGCTGTAACATTTCCCACCAACTCTCTTGCTGTCCACATCAACAGCTAAATCATTTATTCATATGGATCTCTACCATCCCCATGCCTTGCCCAGGTCCAGTTCCATTTCTCTCATTCACAAGATGCTTTGAAGGTTCTGATTTTCAACTGATCAAACTAATGCAAAAAAAAAAAAGTATGTATTCTTCACTACTGAGTTTCTTCTTTGGAAACCATCACTATTGAGAGATGGGAAAAACCTGAATGTATAAAGCATTTATTTGTCAATAAACTGCCTTTTGTAAGGGGTTTTCACATAACATAGAGGAGCTTCCCTTTTTTGTTTAAGTTTTGTAACCTTTAATCCTCCATATTCTCATGTCTGTCATCCCAGGGGTGTCACAACTGTAAAAATCTACAATATTAGAAAGCAGCTACTACAGATGTGGAAGAGAGAACACTTGTATAAGACAATGCTGTACTGAAGTTATATAACAAGGTCCCCTGATACTTATGCCTGCATTACTTTGAGGGATGCTGAATGAGAGGACCATCTCCCTGAAATATATTAATAATTTTCAGATAAAATTATGAACATAACATACCTTTTCTCAAGTGGAATTAGAGTTCATTTCCCATTTAAGTGATTACACTCTATCTCCTAAGAGCTGTGGGAACCAGTTCATATTGCAGTGGAAACATTAACTCTTCGTTGCACTGTTGAGTGTCAAGGCTACTGTGGCAATGTTTTTTGCAAAGTTCTCAGTAATTTTCTCTCTGCAATCAAATTAGAGTTCATATTTAATTTGCAGATTCTCTCATTCATTGCTCCACACTGCTTTATCAAATCAGGTGAAAGAAATTAATGTAGTTTTGCCTATTTTACAAAATGGTGGTTGGTTCTTTAAACACCATGTTATTACTCTTAATAAATCTACAAATATTTATTGAGCATCTATGATATGCTTGGTGCTGTTAGGCACTGTGTTTTTAAAGCACAAACTCTCAAAAGCTGATTCCAGCGTAATGTTTTATTTTTGTTTTTCTGTGTTTTTTATGACAAAGTCTGTCTGATAGACAAAGCCTGGAAGGTTTCCCCCAGGGCTTTAGAATTTAGAATTAGCTGGTTTTCATTTCAAATGGGAAATTAATGGAGAAATGAGATAAAATCATCTCTGTGTAAATGCTTGAACCCACAGAAAGTTTTCTAAATATGGACTAATTGTGGGTTTGTGCATATTTCTGTGTCTCCTCTTTTCACTTCACACCCACCATGATATAAAAAGATGCATCAGAGAGTGAGCCTGCCTTCAGGACCTGAAAGGACATGACTGAACATCTAGTAGATCTGGTGGAAATTAATGTTATACAAAAGACACGTAGACTAAGTTGACCCTGGGAGAGGAGTTAATACATTCCTTTGCAAAGTGACATGTGCCCTTTTTTTGACAGTCTGGCTTTCATGGTATGAGATGAGGACTCACAGGCCTTGGGTAATTTCTGCTTTTGTATGAATTTTTTCAGATGGTTCTGAGCTGGTTATGTCCCTGGAGGGGAATTTTTCATTTGCCTTAGATGTTCTTCCCATGAGTAGGTACATGAGTGAAGTTTCTTACACTTTTAAAATTGCATTGGCAAATTTTCTTTTGCTTTATGAACCCCTGTTTTGTCATTATGATTTTTCACTTGTTTTAACAGTTTCAGATGTCACCTTGGAATAGCACTGTTTATTTTGGCCTTTTTATGATTGCTGATGATAGGTACAGTCTAAAGGCCAAAAGTTGCCACTTCATTGTGATAACATTGTTGCAACATTCCTAATATATTAGAGAATGATGTAAAATAAGAATGTTAGAGAACATAGCACATTCTCATTCAGTTTATAAACAATATTTGAAAATTTCCAGTGAGAATTAAAAAAGGACTAGTGATGATATAGCAAACCTGGACCTGAAATTTGGGGGTGGGGGGTGGGGGGATATCTGTTTTGCAGAGAAAATTTACCAGCCTCCAGCAAAATCTCTGCATCTTGTACTCAATAGCAACCATTAGTATTGTCATTTAAAAAGAATGAATCAAAAATTCATACGTAATGGAATGAAAAGAGGAAAACTTTCTATTAAACACTGTCAAGAAAGACCCATTGCTATCTATCACCTATGAAATTAAACCTAAAAAAATTTTTTTTTATTGTAAAAGCGACTGCTCGTTGATGTCTGGAAGTGATCCAGACTTTGTTTCACTGTGATCCAAAAAGTTAGACATTCCTTCCATTTCTCAAGATTTGGTAACAATTTTTTTTTAAGTCAGCATTTCATATAATACATAAAATTAAGACAAATTAACTTACTGATATGTGGCCAATATCAACCCTTCTCACCCAACCCAAACATGTTCTGGAGATAGAAGGACTTATCCTCAATTATATTCCAGTAAATTTATCTCCATAATCTGTTTTATCCCCTAATGTATGATATATCTCACCAAATTTTTCTAGAATTGAATAAAAGCAGTTTTTGCTTAACTTGAATTTCCTTCCACAAATACAACCTTCAGCTCTTCCCTCTCTGTTTCCCTTTTGCCCACATTGCAAATAGTCTTCATAATAGAACCCTCACTGCAACTTAAAAGGGTCCCATTTCTTAACTCAGCATTTCATATACCAAGAACACTTGCAAAGATTTCTTCATAATGTGATTTTTTAATTTTTCAGTTCCAGAAGCATTTCCTACAGTTCGAACGTTATTTTTTCTCTCAGATTTTCAACTTGAAGCTTTGATTTGCACTGAATTAACTTGGATAAAATTTTAGTTTCTCTCTTCAGCTAACAGATTTGGAAGCAAATTACAGTATACTTGAATAATTCAGGTACTACCTGTTGACCTGGAATTTTAGTGATTCTGGGAAAGTTTTCCAGACAAAGACACCAATAGAGTGAAGGGTTTTTTCCCCAATTACTATTTTATTGTTTTTTAAAATGCCTTTTTAAAACTTGTGTGATGTGGCAAAATAGTCATATGTTCAATTAATTTATATTTTATTCATTCCTTTTCAATTCTGGTTATTATGTAACCTCAAGTACTTTATCTGTTCTTTTAAAGTATTTTATAAAATGAACGTTAACTAAATGCAGAGTTGGTACTTTATTTTTCAAATGAACACAAAAATTTTAGAGCATTTCTATGATGTAATTTTTCTTTTTCATGTCTAATTGAACAAAGTGGTGCAAGGTGTACCCATCCTAGGTAATTTAGTTATTAAGTACCAAAATCACAATTTTAAGGTAGCCTAATAGATAAAATTGCCCCTATGTCATAGATCTGAATGTCAAAGGTGTATCAAGGTTCCAAGTAAGAAATATCATATCTGGGAAATGCTGAAAGCCTTCAGGATGATGTACTATAATATATAATTGATAATTCCTGATCAACAGTACCATCTGGTCTTTAAATTCCTCATTTCTTAAATCATTTTTTCACTGATCAGTATATAGTGGGGAGAGAACAACAGAGATAACAATGTTAATAATTGCTTTTATATCAAGAATCATGGCAGAATATTGTGAAACTAATTGTTACATGCAAAGTTCCGTGCATAGTAATAACAATTACTTCCTGGAAGCATATACCATGAAATGGAAGATACACATAAGCAAGTAATTCCAGTACAAAAATGTGTGTACAACATACCACATTGTACTAGAATTACGTCTGTATGATAAGTGCTTAAGAACTAATTATTGAGCCTTTATTATGTGTAAGGAGCTTAGTGTCAAAGCATTTAATGCTTTCGACAACCCTGCCTCTTTTAGGACTGTGGAAGGGAAGTTGGGAATTATATTTCTAATAGAAAGTTTGACAACCCATAAGACTAAGTAGTCTTTTGTAAGCCTAAAAGGAGCAAGGATTTGTTGTTGGTATTAAGAAAGAAATTCAGAGTTAAAGCTTTTCAAATAGGAAGAGCACACATGATAAAATATTGTTATTTAAGCAAAGGTGAGATGCCGCTCATCATCACTTCAGTGCTTTGAGAAGACTTGTTCTTCTCTCCTAAAAGCCCCCCCTCCCCCCGGGAAACCTCTGTGGGACTCATTAAGAGGCTGGTGGCAGAACTTCCATTCCTGTGTCCTAAGAGTCATCATGAGCAGAAGAGGATGGGCTGGAGGGTTACCTGGGAAAAGTGAGTGATGAGTGAGAATGTTCTGGGTTTGGTCCACCTCTCCCAATTCAACTAATGATAGCTCCCAGAGAACACCAATTATAGATATTAGGGAACTGGCATTTTATTCTGTTAGAGTCCACACAGTGGACTTACTGATCTGCCATCTGCGGTTACTAGAGCAGAGCAGAACATAACTAGAGAGGAGTCAACAGTGAATCAGGTAATAAGCATCTCCACCATTGGGAGAACAAGGATACATCATACGCCCCTGGGATAGGCAGAGCCCTGTCAAGGCAGCTGAGCTGGAGTTGTCTTGGCAGGACCCAAGAAGGCCACCTGTCAGCCACAGTAACCCAAGCAGCAAGAGACTTTGGGGTATACACTGCTGGACTAGGCACAAGGAAGTCAAGCCAGTGGATATCTGATGTATCTGATGTGTCAGACACTAACCGAGTGTCCTCCCACTTGAGCTTGACAACAAAGTCCACCTTTGAGAACTTACTGTATGGGCAAAATACAAAATCAAACATGCCCTACAATAGCACTTGTAAAAAGAATTTTACTCCTTTCCTTAACTCTTCTTCCCCTATCCCAATCCCAAAGAAGCAGAAATGTAAGAATGAAGAGGAGTGATTAAAAAGGGTACATCTTGCCCCTTCTCTGCTCCTAGTCCCTGAGGTTAAGGGCTGCCCAACACTGGGAGACAGTGGACAGGCTAGACTGAATTAGAATGCAGGTGATTAAACAAGGAAAGATAATTAATAGTTAAAAGAAGTGATTAAAGAAAAAATCTCAACATACCATGTTGGCAGCCTATCAGGTTCAAGGTGTTTAGTAAATTACTAAAAAAAAAAAAAAAAAGCCAGACATTTCATTTCAAATGAACTTTAGTGGTTTCCTTAGTTTAACAAAAAGTATTTATAGTCAGATAGCCATCATTAGAGGGTCCTTCTATGGGGAGATGATGTGGGATGGATAGATGCATTTTATTTCTCTGGAAATACTCCCTGCCTGGCAAGCTCAGAGGGCTCACCCCTGGAGATGCAAATTCTGCCTAACCCCTCCCACAGTCTTTTGAGCAGAGATCCTCTCCTCTGTCCCTTAGCAGTGCAGGGCCCAATCTCACCCAGTTCTCCCTTCACTGCAAGCATTGCTTCCCCCTCAGTAAACTACCCAAACCTCATTTGTTAGCTTGTTTATGAAGTAAATATCAGGGACATGAAATAAAACGTCTGGCAGCAACTTCCCTAGGACATCAGTGACTGTCCTCAAACTACTCTCAAAAGGAGCTGTACATTTCCCTAAAGAACCATTCCAATGTAAGATGCAAAGTATCCTTGCAGAAAATTAAACCTAACCACAAGTGCCTAGGCCCTAGGCTATTTAGACATGAATCAAAAACAGCAGTACCAAGGCACTTATTTGTATAGATGTTTAATCAAGAGTGATGCTTAATGTCTATCTGGAATTTCTTGCAAAAAAAGAGAGGATAGATGGTCTAAAACAAGACTAATATATCTCTACTGGGCATTTTAATCAGTGCTAACATAATTAAATATTTATACAGCACTTTGGGTTTGGGAACATTTTCTGTTTGATTTTCAAAGTTGCATTTCTCAAAATTCTTGTAAAGTAGGTCCATTACACTTGATACCTTCTCTTTGCACATAGAATTTATAAATCAGAGAACATAACTTTCCCTGAGTCACTCAACAATTGACAAGCACTAGAATTATGATCGTATCAATTAGTCCCACCTCATGCATTAGATATTAAAAATAGACCTAAAAACAGTTAGGCAAGATCTAAGCAATCCTTCTGTGGGCAAGAAAGAGAATTTAAAATAAGTATGTGACTTTCACCTCCTGCTATTATCACATATTGCAGGAGGTATCACCCAGAAAGATAAGTACATGTTGACATGATTTGGCTGTTCTCCACCCAAATCTCATCTTGAAATATAGTTCATGTAATCCCCACATGTTGTGAGAGGGACCCAGTGGGAGGTAATTGAATCACAGGGGCAGTTAACCCTCATGTTCTCGTGATAGTGAGTAAGTCTCACGAGATCTGATGGTTTTATAAGGGGCTCTTCCCCCCGTGGCTGGGCACTTCTCTTTGTTGCCGCCATGTATAAGAGGACGTGTTTGCTTCCCCTTATGCCATGATTGTAAGTTTCCTGAGGCATCTCCAGCCATGCTGGACTGTGTGTCAATTAAAACTCTTTCCTTTATGAATACCCAGTCTCAGGTATGTCTTTATTAGTGTGAGAACTGACTCCTACATGTTAAACATGACTAATACATGTAAACATGTTACTTATTGACTAGTTGGGGTGTTTAAAAAATGATTTGCTAATTGGTCAGCACTAATCATGTAAACAAAATCATGTAGTTGAAGCTGAACTACATATGCACAGCAAATTTTGCAAAGAGATCAGCAACTTGAAAGTGTGGATGAGTTAAGCAACCTGCATTCTAAAGTGGCTTAGCACTATGGGTCTTTCTAGTGCCATTTTTAATGTGTGTAAGTACCTATTTTTAAAATTAATTTACTGTTTACTACGAAGAGGAAAGGAAAAATCACCTTACTGCTTGCCATTTTTCAGCAAAGGAAGTGTTCTAATTGCTCAATTCAGTAAAAAGGCTAATAGGGAAGGAGAACAAATAAATATCCTCAGAGGTTAAATCAAAAAAACACCTGTTTCATTTGTGAACCTTTAATGTGTAGGCACAGAAGCAATTTTGGCAGCCATGCTATTAATCTGTAAGAGGCCATAAACTTGTCATGGTGAGGACACTGCAAATTCAACTTGAATATACTTTGCTTTTCACATTAATGACATATAAGGACACTTAAGCCTCTCATCATCACTTTAGCACCTTGAGAAGACCAATGTTCTTGTTCTCCTCTCAAAGGACCATTACCACTTCAATGTGTGACTTGTCAATCCTTTGTGATACTAACCCCTAAAATTAAACTCTCTTGAAGTTGAAGATGACAACAATTTCATTCCACCTGGAAAATTTAGAAGTATTCAAACCCTTCACTGTTGATTAAAATCAGATTCAAGCTCCATTTTCCTCAGGAAAATGGCCAGGCTATTTGATAAAACATTAAAGAGAGAATGCTAACTCACAGACTAGATCTAGCAGTGTTGTGGTTGTGTGTTTGTTAGCTAAGTTAAACTCTAGTGTCCTCTGATTTTACTTTATGCTCAAATCTCTTAACCTAGAAAGTTAATATATGCCTCAGCATGTTGTGAAAATCCACAGGTGAGTTTAAAAGACCTTAAATGGCTTCAACAATGCTCTCCACATTTTAAAGTATGCATTCTTAAATCCATTGCACTTTTCACAAAGATTAGGAACCAGAACTTCCTTTCAATGGTTGTTTCCCAGCATCATTTAATATACTGCTTCTACATATAATTCCAACTCATCCAGGTTCTTAGAGGGAAATTCTAGAAACTTGGTTGTCTCTATGGGAAAAGCCTTCAGAATGAGTTTCTGGCCTCAACATTGTTTACCCATAACTTCAGAGGTCATTAGTCCATGATTTCATTCTACTGTTATCTTCCTTGTCAATGGCAAGACTATCCGACATTCTGGTCCTCTTCATATTTTTATGTATAGTTAGAAACAATTAAGTTTATTTTAAAATATATAATCTGGCTGGGTGCAGTGGTTGCATCTGTAATCCTAGCTACTTGGGAGGCTGAAGCAGGAGGATCACAGAAGGCCAGGAGTTTGAGACCATCCTGGGCAACATAACAAGACACTGTCTCAGAAACAAAATTTTTATTTTAAATTAGCCTGGCATGGAGGTGCCTGCCTGTAATCTCAGATACTTGGTAGCCTGAGGTGGAAGAGTGGCTTGAGCCAAGGAGTTTGAGGCTGCAGTGAGCTATGATCACGTCTCTGCAGTCCAGCCTAGCAATAGAGCAAGACTCTCTATCTATCTATCTATCTATCTATCTCTATCTTTAGACACACACACACACACGTGAGAAACACACACATATATATATAGTTTGCCTACCAATAATTCAAATTACATCAGAGAATGTTCAAACTTTAGCTCAAACTATAAGTAAAACATGATGCCAGTTACAATCCCATGTTTCATTTTTACAAGTGCAGCATCCACTGTTGAGTGCCGCAAAGGCAATTGCTTCACTCAAAAATATCTCTCTGAGGGACTTACTGTCTAATGGAATGGAATGTATGCATTAGCCCAACAAAACTTCACACTAAGAATCTGTATTGACAAACTTTAATGTTATTAGAGACACATCATTTTACATTATTGCTATCTCTTTGTTTTTAGATTAACTGTGTGTGTGTGTGTGTGTTTGGGGTTGGGCTGCATAATCTGAAATTCGTTTAAAGGAAAAATACCCTGCAATTCTAGTTCTGTCATCACTGATGACTCCTCACAGTGAGGACAGGAAAGATAATTGAAGTCTTTGTGACCTAGTTTCCTTATCTATAAGGAAAAATAGAAGGACTGCCTTGCAATTATTTAAAAGAACTTGGGAAAAGCTAAATGAGCATTATCTTGAAAAGTCCTGAAAACCAATTAATAATATATTGAAAGATATATTGCTTTGACCACTGTGGATGAGTGCTCTAGTGTATGGTTGGTGATTCCATCTTTACTTGAAGAAAGAAGGCATTTGAGAAGAGATAGTTACTTCCTCATTTGAGGCACCCCTTCAATTAATCAGCATGCAGCAAATCTGCTCTTTAGTCAGTGGTAAAATTGTGGCAGCCTGCTGCGCCTGCCGTCTCGTCACAGCAATTATAGTGTGAGAACAGGACATTATTATCAATCACTAGATGCTGAACCAGTGACAACCCCCTCAAAAGGGAGTAAATCAGAGAAAATGGAAGAAAAAGACAGGGAGACAACTGCACAGAGCAAAAGGGAGCAGGAAAATGCAAGACACAGGAGATAAAACAACGCTCTGGAGGAGTATAAAGATATTAAAGGGACAGAAAATATGGTACCAAAAATGCACTGCTGGATCACATTTTATGTGCAACAGGCACATTTGGCATATTTAGCATATTTGATTAGCATTAATCAATAAAACTTACAGGGAACTTCGGAATTAGTATGTGAGACTGCAATTTATTTTCCACCATTAGAGATTCAAAATGAGAGCGGGACTAGTTTTAAGGAAAACAGTGTAAAGTAGGACAAGTTCATTTTGAAAGATCTGTCAGTCCTTTCCATTTAACTCAATACACATTCATGGTCCTTCAGTGTCCCATACCATACAGGATAATGAAAATGAGACGTAGTCCTTGCTGCAGGAGTTTAGGATCTGGGGGTATAGTGGGAAACATTCATAACTAGTTAAGAGTGTTAGGAGTCAAGCGTGAAGCGCGAACAACATCTTCCCTATTGCTGACACTTTATCCAGAGGATAAGTGCTCTACGGGTACCTACCCTCACCCTCACCCACACCCTTTATGCTAGAGGTCCTTTTAGTCTTACTCTTTTGACAATGCCCCATGCTCTGGAGTTTTCTTTTTCTCAGTGTTCATATCCAAAAACTTTCCTGGCCATGTCTGCAGAACCATTGCCCTCTGCTAGCTAACTACTAGCTAAAAGAAACTGTGTAAAGAATGTAACCTAGGAATTAACATAGGGACTTTAGAGTCAAACAATACAGTTATATTACTGGACTGCATCTGAATACCTTTATGATCTTTGACAAGTTTAAGTTTCTTCTCTGTAAAACGCATAATTATTGTATTTACTACATAAGGTAGTAGAAAGGATTAAATGAGTATATTAAGCACTTACATTAGTTACTGTTTTCTATTTTGGGAGTTCTGTTGGTTTACCAGGGCTGCCATAAGAAAATATCACAGACTGGGAGGCTTAAACATCAGAAATTTATTTTCTCCCATTTCTGGAGCACGGAAGTCCAAGGTCAAGGCACTGGCAGCCTTCGTTTCTCCTGAAACCCCTCTCCTTGGCTTGCTAATGGCCGCTTTCTTGCTGCCTCATCAGAAGGTCCTCTTCCTGTTAAAGCAGGCGCCTGTGTTTCTCTGTGTGTCCAGACTCCCCTTGTTATGAGGTCTTGCTCTGTTTCCTGGGCTGGAATGCAGTGTCACAATCATAGCTCACTGCAGTCTCGACCTCCTGGGCTCAAGTGTTCCTCCAGCCTCAGCCTCCCAAGTAGCTGAGACTCCAGGAGTGTGCCACTATGCCCACCTAGTTTTTCAGATTGGATTAGGACCTACCCATATGTCCTCATTTAACCTTAATTTCTCTTTGAAGGCCCTATTTCCAAATGCCTTCACATTCTGGGGTACTAGGGGTTAGGTCTTCAGCAGATGAATTTTGAAGGGACACAGTTCAGCTCATAACAGAGAGTATAACATGCTTACAGTAAATTGTATGCATACACCCACAGAAACACACACTCATACTTGCATGACTGTGTCCTGTAAGATGATTTTGCAGTTTTTTTCTACACTCCAAATATTCCATCATGTACCTTCCCAATCAATACCATCTTCCCTTCCAGAAGTATTTTTTGACTTCTATCATGAGAGAGAAATTTTACCCATCCTTGAACGTTATATAATGCAATCATACAGTGCATATATTTTGGTGTCTGGATTCTTTTAATCAATAACATTTCTACAGAATTTATCCACATGGTTCCATGTAGCAGCAGTTTGCTCTTTTTAATTGCTATGTATGTATGAATATACCATAACTTGTTTATTCATTCACCCAGTGAAGGGCATTTGGGCTATTTCCTTTTTAAGAGTATGAAATGCTACAAATGCTCTCATGTATGTGTTATATGGAACATATGCATTCGTTTCTCTTGAATGGTAGTGCTCATCTAGAGATATATTGGTTAATTTGCAAACAAATTAAATTTTCTAAGTTTCTTTTATTTTTTCTAGTTTAATTTTAACATAGTCAAAAAAAAATACTCTGAATTATTTCAGTCCTTTAAAATTTTTTGAGATTTGCTTTGTGACAATATATGGTCTTTTTTGGTAAATATTCCATGTGCACTGGGAAAAAGTCTATTCTGCAACTATATAGCACAATGTTCAATAAATGTAATTAGTGGCAATTAAGTGAAGTTAGTTCATTTTTTTTTCCCTTTTGAGACAAGGTCTTGCTCTGTCTCCCAGGCTGGAGAGCAGTGATGCAATTATGACTCACTACGGCCTTGTCTGCCTGAGCTCAAGCAATCTCCTGCTTCAGCCTCCCAAAGTGCTGGGAGTACAGGCATGAGCCACTGCACTAGAGCTCTTTTTTTTTTCATGACTTATATGTCTTTACTCTTCGGTGGACTGTTAAAATCTCTAGTTAATTATGCTTTTCTCTATTTCCTTTTTTGTCTTATATGTCTTTACCCTTTGGTGGACAGTTAAAATCTCCAGTTAATTATGCTTTTCTCTATTCCCTTTTTTGTTTTCACCTGACTTATATATTTTGAATTTATGATATAAGATGTATACAAATTTGGGCTGTTTCATTTCCTATTGAGTTGACCTTAATCATTATGAAATATTCTTTCTTAAAGTTTGCTTTTTCTATATTAATAAAACCATATTTATTTTCTTTTTATTCATGTATTCATGTACAACTGTTCTATATTTTAAATTTCAATTATTTTCTCCACGTTTAAAGTGTGTTTCATGTGTGTGTGTATATATATGTGTATATATATGTATATATGTATATATATGTGTATGTATGTATATATGTATATATGTATTATTATATAATTACCTTATCAGCCAGGCTGATGATCTTTGCCTTTTATTTAGAATATTTAGTTCAGATAAATGCCAGTTAATTAACTACATACTTGGGTTTAATTCTACTGTCTTTCTATTTATTTTCATTCACGTGTTTCTTTTTTCCTTGACTTGCTTTGTATAATTCAGGCTTTTTTTATTATTCCATTTTTTCCTCCATCATCAGTTTTTTGTTTTGTTATTTTATTTTATTTTATTTTTTTGAGATGGAGTTTCACTCTTGTCACCCAGGTTGGAGTGCAATGGCGCCATCTCGACTTACTGCAAACTCTCCCTCCTGGGTTCAAGTGATTCTTCTCCCTCATCCTTCCAAGTAGCTGGGATTACAGCCACCTGCCACCACACCCAGCTAATTTTTGTATTTTTAGTAGAGATGGGGTTCACCGTGTTGGCCAGGCTTGTCTCAAACTCCTGACCTCAGGCGATCTGTCCTCCTTGGCCTCCCCAAGTGCTGGGATTACAGGAGCGAGCCACCATTATCAGTTTTTTAATGATACAGTCTTTAATAATTCTCTTGATAGTTACTCTCCTAATTTAGAGATTACAATACACATTCTTTACAACTATCGAATAATTAAAACATGTTTTTCCATTTTAAAATTGAATTTTTCTTTGAATTGCTTTTATAGATTCCAGGTATCTTTTGAAACTACAAATACAATCCTATATTTTCTTGAACAATTTAATTGTATTCATTTTAAAATTGTTTTCTGAAAATACGAATATCTGAATCATCCATACCATATGTCCTTTTCTACACTTTTTTTTTCTTTGGTTTAGCTTATAGCTTCTGATTGGATGCCAGACACTGTGGATAAGAAATTGTGGAGGCTTTTGATGATGTTTTCTTTCTCCAAAAACCACTAAAATATCTTTAAGGGTGTATTACGTTCACATGGATTACTTATAATTTTAAAGGATGGCTTTAGTCTTTGGGCTATTTGGGTTTTGCTCTTAATCCTAGGACATGGTCTTTCAGGGCTTCAAGAGAATGCCTAGTGTTTACTGGGCCCCTTTAACTGGACAGAATTTGAACATTATCTACATGTCCCCAGCATAGTGGAAAATTTCTCCTCAGCTCTTTAAACTCCAACTGCTGCCATCTTCCTGATTTTGTAAATTTCTCTGTGACATTTAAGAGTTAATACCACGAGGAAAAATTATATGTGGAATTTTATCCTCCCTTCTTTTTTTTTTTTTTTTTTTTCTGTCTCACTCTGTCGCCCAGGCCAGAGTGCAGTGGTGTGACCTCAGCTCACTGCAACCTCCGCCTCCCGGGTTCAAGCAATTCTCCTGCCTCAGCCTCCTGAGTAGCTGGGATTACAGGCACCTGCCACCACACCCAGCTATTTTTTTTTTTTTTTGTATTTTTAGTAGAGACGGGGTTTCCCCATGTTGGTCAGGCTGGTCTCGAACCTCTGACCTCGTGATCTACCCACCTCGGCCTCCCAAAGTGCTGGGATTACAGGCATGAGCCACCGCTCCCGGCTTCCTCCCTTCTTTATGGCTGCTTTCTGTCTGGGATTTTACACTTCTGGTTGCCATGATGTCTACATACTCAGTCCAGTTAAATTGATGTGTTTTGTTTTGTTTGAGCTCTAGTCCCCTGCGTAGTTGCTCTGCAGTATCATTACACACACACACTGTCTCTCTCTCCCACCCCCACCCCTTCTCTTAGTTGTTTTCTATTGGCCAGTGGGTTGATCAAATACCAGCTACTCTATCATGAACAGAGCAAGTACTCTGGGTTAAGGTTTTTAATATATTAATGTGTTTCCCCCAAGAATAAATTTGAAGTATAATAGTAGGTAGTAAAATACTAGGCTTTACTGCACAGGTGCAATAGTGTTCATGAGTGTAGATTTCTGGTATTAAGGCAGTCCTCAGGGAAATTTGTAGTGCTTCTAGGAATATTATAGATAGACATGACCATAATTATAGTATTCAGGTGATACATTCATGAAATAGCCTCTTGACGATCATATATCTATGGTTTCAAGAGCGTGTACAGTGAGAGAAAGGATGAATAAATAAACTGGGAAAAGAGTAGAGAGTGGGTAATTATGTGGAAAACGCATGTCAAATAAAGGCCATGAGATCAATTAGACATTTATGGAGTACCCCTATATTAAATGCCTATACTAGGCACAGTGGTATAAAATGATAAGCGTACTTATTTGGGGATGGTTGACCCCAAGAAATTTATAATACTATTCAGAAAAAAGATTAAATGGAAAATTGAGAATAAAATTTCAGGTGCTATATAGCAGTTTAGAGTGGCAATAAAAAGATTTCTGAAAGAGATACAAAGTAGAGCTCAGCAAGTATGTATTGAGCTTAATCCTATCTACATTTAAAACAAAGCGAAGTTAATAAAACAAATAAGCAGGATGTTTAATTCTAATTATCAGAAGGATAAAAATTTTAAATTTCTGCACATTCCAAAAACGAAATGGGGTCAACTGGCACTTTCCCACATAGGGTACTAGGAAAGAAAACACTAGTTTGCACACCCTACATAAAGGTGTATTGTTCAAATGAGAGTTTTTTGTTTTTCTCTTTTTGTCAATTTCAAATTCTATGGCTAACAGGATATTGGTTAGCAGTGTTTTAGACTTGGTGGAGCACAAGATTTTTAGGGCTTGAAGGCTTCAGGACATGTTATTTGAAGTAGGATTAAGGTTTAATTCCATTTATACATGGCTGCACCCAAGATTTACTCAATCACAACCTCAAATCATGTTCACCAAGCTCTAAAAATGTTTCTGATATAGAGCCAGGTTTACAATCCACCGTTTTATACAGGAATTAAATTATAACTCCTTAATTTACACAGTGACATTCAAGGACTGAATACAAAACACCTCTGCCTGATTGACATCATCAGTAAGATATTTTATTCATCAAAATATGTAGTAAATATATTCTGCCAAAAATTAAATTAAATAGATAACTCTAAAGATAGGAAAGGGTTAGGAAACTGTGACCATTTTGAATTTCGTGTCTATATTATGTTCATATGAGAAGCAATTTTCATTTTTGGTTCTTTTAAAAATATACAATTTCTGGTCAGATTATTGTCTATGAAACTGAAACATTTCCTCTTAAAAGTAAGTAGAGATGCTGAATACAATAAAACAAAAGTAATTTTGAGTTTATAATGGAACTTTTCAAGAAAGAAAAGGAAATCTCAAGATGCAGGAAACAAATAGTGAACTAAAAACTAGAATAAAAAAACATGAGAATATATGTTGTGGCTGCCCAAGGGTCCATTATTGTTCTGAATCATGGAAGAGCTTGTTTCATAAAGCTCATGCCCTACATGGACAGTAGGTAGGCCATGGGACCATGCCAAGTAAAAGTTAAAATAGAGATTCCTACATAAAACTAGAATCTCAAAGCGCTAAAATTTCAGCAAAAGGCAAATTAGGGAAAAGCCTGTGCGTAAACATAGGGAGTTGAAGGGGAGCATACCTGTCTCTACCTAGACTCTAGAGAGACAATAAGTATCCCTTGAAAAGCCAAGTTATGAAAATTTTGCCTATTTAGATATTGAAATTATAGCACCCTAGATTTCCAGGACCTGTAAGTCAATCAATTATTCAAAAATAGTTCATGATGAGTAATACCCCTAAAATTCCTGAAAGAAACATTGAATTCCACAATCCAGATCATCCACTCTTTGTACAGAAAACAAAGCCCCACTTTGTGTAAAAATGCTACAAAACACATGATGTAGTTTGCCTGTGTCCCCACCCGAATCTCATCTTGAATTCTCATGTATTATGGGAGGGTCCTGGTGGGAGATTATTGAATCATGTGGTCAAGTATTTCCCCATGCTGTTCTCATGATAGTGAATAATTCTCATGAGATCTGATGGTTTTAAAAAGGGATTCCCCTGCACAAGTTCTCCCTCTCTTTGCCTGCTGCCATCTATGTAAGATGTAACTTGCTCCTCCTTGCCTTGCACTATGATTGTGAAGCCTCCCTAGCCATGTGGACCTGTAAGTCCAATAAACCTCTTTTTTTGAAAATTTCCCAGTCTCAGGTGTGTCTTTATCAACAGCATATAAATGGACTAATACAGTAAATGGGTACTAGTAGTGGGGTGCTGCTGAAAAGATACCCAAAAATGTGGAAGCAACTTTGGAACAGGGAAACAGGCAGAGGCTGGAACAGTTTGGAGGGCTCAGAAGAAGACAAGAAAAGGTGAGAAAGTTTGGAACTCCCTAGAGGCTTGTTGAATGGCTTGGACAAAAATGCTGATAATGACATGAACAATGAAATCCAGGCTGAAGTGGCTTGAGATGGAGATAAGAAACTTGTTGGGAACTGGAGCAAAGGTGACTCTCATTATGTTTTAGCAAAGAGACTGGTGGCATTTTGCCCCTGCCCTAGAGATTTGTGGAACTTTGAACTTGAGAGAGACGATATAGGGTATCTGGTGGAAGAAATTGGTAAGCAGCAAAGCATTTGAGAGGTGACTTGGGTGCTGCTAAAGGAATTCAGTTGTATAAGGGAAGCAGAGCATACAAGTTTGGAAAATTTGAAGCCTGACAATTCCAGAAAATTCCATTTTCTGAGGAGAAATTCAAGCTGGCTGCAGAATTTTGCCTAAGTAATGAGAAGCAGAATGTTAATCCCCAAGACAATGGGGAAAATGTCTCCAGGCATGCCAGAGGTCTTCACAGCAGCCCCTCCCATCACAGGCCAGAGGCCTAGGAAGAAAAGATGATTTCATAGGCTGGGCCCAGGGCCTCCCTGCTGTGTGCAGCCTAAGGACTTGGTGCCCTGCATCCCAGCCACTCCAGCCATGGCTAAAAGGAGTCAAGGTACAGCTCCGACTGTGGCTGTACAGGGTGCAAGCCCCCAAGCCTCAGCAGCTTCCATATGGTGTTGAGTCTGCGAGTGCACGGAAGTCAAGAATTGGGGTTTGGGAACCTCAACCTAGATTTCAGAGGATGTATAGGAACACCTGGTTGTCCAGGTAGATGTTTGCTGCATGAGTGGGGCTCTCACGGAGAACCTCTGCTAGGGCATTGCAGAAAGGAAATGTGGGGTTGGAGCCCCCACGTAGAGTCCCTACTGGGGCACTGCCTAGTGGAGCTGTGAGAAGAGGGCCACTGTCCTCCAGACCCCAGAATGGTAGATCCACTGACAGCTTGCACCGTGTGCCTGGAAAAGCTGCAGACACTCAATACCAGCCCATGAAAGCAGCCAGGAAGGAGGCTGTATCCTGCAAAGCGACAGGAGCAGAGCTACCCAAAACCATGTGAACCCATCTCTTGCATCAGCATGGCCTGGATGTGAAACATGGAGTTAAAGGAGATAATTTTTGAGCTTTAAGATTTGACTGGCCCGCTGGATTTTAGACTTGCACAGGGCCTGTAGCCCCGTCATTTTGACGAATTTCTCCCATTTAGAATGGCTGCATTTACCTAATGCCTGTACCCTCATTGTGTCTAGGAAGTAGCTAACTTGCTTTTGATTTTACAGGCTCAAGGCTGGAAGGGACTTGCCTTGTCTAGGATGAGACTTTGGACTGTGGACATTTGAGTTAATGCTAAAATGAGTTAAGACTTTAGGGGACTGTTGGGAAGGCATGATTGGTTTTGAAATGTGAGGACATGAGATTTGCGAGTGGCTAGGGACAGAATGATATGGTTTGGTTGTGTCCCCACCAAAATCTCATCTTGAATTCCCACGTGTTGTGGGAAGGACCTGGTGGGAGGTAACTGAATCACCGGGGCAAGTCTTTCCCATGCTGTTCTCATGACAGTGAAGAAATCTCATGAGATTTGATGGTTTTAAAAAGAGGCGTTCCCCTGCACAAGTTCTGTCTCTCTTTGCCTGCTGCCATCTACATAAGATGTGACTTGCTCCTCCTTGTCTTCCTCCATGATTGTGATGCCTCCCCAGGCATGTGGAATTGTAAGTCCAATAAAGCTCTTTTTTTCGAAATTGCCCAGTCTCAGGTATGTCTTTATCAGCAGTGTGAAAATGGACTAATACAACACACAATGAGAAAACACCAAGAAGAGGAGTCAGAGTCCCAGCAACCATGAGGGTTATGTAAGCAAGAATTTAATTGATAGAATATAGTCTGGAAATAACACAGAATAAATGTGGATATATAATTACTGAGGCAAAGAAAAATGAATTCTATCAATGAGAAAAGGAACAATAAAAAAGATTTGAATAAAGATAAATAGAATATCTAGAAATAGAGATTTAATAATGGGAAGACAGATTATAGGAAAGTAACCAGAATACAACAAAATTGATAGAATAAGAGACCTGGAAGACATAATTAAAAGGCCCAACATAAGCTGAAAAGAATTCCAGATGGAGAAAATGGAGAGATTTGTGGAAAGCCACTGCTGAAAACATTAAGTGTGTGAGAATGTGATAGAAATAGTGAACTAAGTGAAATCCTACATTTGAGAAGCACGAAAATGCCAAATCAGGATAAATAAAAGTAAGCTCATATCTGGATACATTATAGTAAAATTCACAAAAAAAAAACATGAAAAAGGGGTTGAAATAATATGTACCAAAAAAATCACATGCAAACAGATAAGTAGATTGATAGAAAATGTCTGAAGATTTGACTTCTGCTTCCAGTGATGAAGACAACAAAAGCAAGACTTAGCCTCCTGATATAAATAACCAGAAAACTAGGCCTGAGTGTGGAAAAAATATTGAAAAATGTTTGAAAAATATTGAAAAATGTTTGAAAAATAACCATGTTCCGATATTAGGCAACAGTTTCCAGACTATAGGCGAACAAGGTGAAAACTAAAGAGAGTGTGGCAGTCTTATGAAGTTAAGTTGGCAATCAGTGCTAAAGGAGACCAATGCAGGTGAAATCTGTGGGCAGAGTTCCAGAAAAGGAAAGAGATATGCAGAAAATATATCCCAGATACCTGAATTCGCTTCTCCTTGAGTGTCTGCTAAGGACTATGCCACACATGCATAGAGTAAAACTCCACAAAGCAGAATGAAGGATGACCAAGGAATTGTATAAAGAGCAATTTCCAGAGCTCACCGTGGGTACTGGGTTACTGAGCTCCAGTCGGGCACAGTGGAATGTCCCCAGTGGTCATCACGTCATTCAGTGGAACCCAGAGGCATCATGCCTCAGCAGTAGGCCTGAACTATCCAGGCCCACTAGAACAAAATTAAAGCAGGATTCAAAGTGATCAAACTCATCCATAAGTGCTTGATTCCCTGATAAAAGAAAGCTCAGCACTCTTTAAAATTAGACAATAAAATCCAGACCTTCAACCAAGTAATCATCATAACGTCCAGCATCCTGTCATAATCACTAGATATACCAGAAGCAAAAAATGCAACTCATAGCCAGGGGAAAATTCAATTAATGGAAACAGATACAGAAATGCCAGAGATAATGGAACAAGCATATATTATAATAGCTATCATAACTATATAGAAAGAAAAATATGAATAAAATTAGATAAATGTTAGACATTTAAAAAAAATCAAATGAAAGCAAAAATTTCACTGGATTAGTTTAAGAGCAAATTAAACACAGTATTTGAAGTTATATTAATAACATACATCCAAATGAAGCAGAGAGATAAACTGAAAAAGAAATATTAGTGACCTTAGTTTAATATCAAGTGTTCTAATATATATGTTATATATTTATATATACACATAATTACATATAATTATGTACATAATTAAGCTATTTATATATGTGTATATCCTAGGATATATATTATGTATAATATACGTACATAATCATATACATATATATGATTCAATATATATTCTATGATTATGTATATATATTATATATATGTATATAGCCTAGGATAAGGACAAAGCCTAGCCTGAGGATAAAGTTATATATGTACATATAATATGAATATATATATGCACATAATTAGAGACGTAAGGGGAGAGGAGGAAGGAACATAAAAAATATTGCAGAAATAGGCCAAGCGCGGTGGCTCACGCCCGTAATCCTAACACTTTGGGAGGCCAAGACGGGTGGATTGCCTGAGCTCAGGAGCTGGAGACCATCCTGAGCAACACAGTGAAACCCTGTTTCTACTAAAATACAAAATATATATATATATATTAGCCGGGCCTGGCAGCGTGGACCTCTAATAGTCCCAGGTACTTGGAAGGCTGAGGCAGGAGAATTGCAAGAACCCAGGAGGCGGAGGTTGCAGTGAGCCGAGATCGCGCCACTGCACTCCAGCCTGGGTGACAAAGTGAGACTCTGTCTCTAAAAACAAACAGAACAAAATATTGCAGAAATAGTCTTTGCATTAGGTATATCTTCTAATGCTATCCCTCCCCCCCCCGACCCCACAACAGTCCCCAGAGTGTTAATGCTAAATGACAAGTTAATGGGTGCAGCACACCAGCATGGCACATGTATACATATGTAACTAACCTGCACATTGTGCACATGTACCCTAAAACTTAAAGCATAATAATAATAAAATTAATTAATTAATTAATTAACTAATTAAAAAAATAGTCTTTGCAAAAATTTGAAATTTGATAACAACTGTAGACCCTGATCTAAGAGGCTCAACAAATTTATGTAAGATAAATGCTAGGAAAACCACACAAAGGCCTGCAATTTTTAATTCTGAAAAACAAATATTAAGAGAATATCTTAACAGGCAGCTTCCTGCCACCACACCAAGAAAAAGAAACAACATATACAGGACATTTTTTAAGCGATGAAATAAGCAAAACTTCAATCTAGAAAATGTATATCTAAAAAAAAGAGAGAGAGAGAGATGACTAAACAAAGTCTTTCAGACAAACGAAGGCTGAGGTAATTCAATTTAAGCCCGAGATGACACTTCACAAGAATACCCAGAGAGTGTAAGAAATTGTAGATTTGTGGTTGGAGACCATTTCATTTGATGCACAAAAGACAAGATGATGTTATCTGATATCTTGGCTATACACATTATCATTTCAAATCAGTGGGGGAAATCTGGGCTATTTAATACATGGTTTTAGAACAACTAACATTATTTTGAAAAAATAAAATTAAATCACTATTTCATACAAAGCAAATCTGAGCTGGAGCAGAAACTTAAACATAAAAGATGATACCATAAATGTGCTAGAATACAATATGGAAAAAACACATTATCTTGTTCTGGTCAAGACCTTTTGAAACAGGACATTAAAAAGCCAGAAAACATGAAGGGTAAAGTATATATATGGGCGGGATAGATGGACAAATACATAACTCCCCCATTTTCTCTCCCCACTTTCAGAGCAATTTTAGAAATAAGGCTCATGAGCTGTAGATCAGAACACTTTCATTACTGATTGAGTTCACTGGAGAAAGTGACTTTGTTCCCCTGCGAGTTTGTTTTCACCATGTGATATATTGGTCTGCATGTACCTGCGGGGAAAACTTGGGCCAAGAGGAATAGAAGATCTCCCCAACAGATAAAGTTCATACATCTGATTACCTAGAATAAAGATAAACAACAACAGACAGGGAAAAATACCTTCAATGATTATGACTAGTGATACTACTCCTAAATTCCCACAACATGTGGGCTGTAAATGATTTTGGATTTTATATTTCTCGTGCCTGGAGTAAGCATGTGGCTGAGCTTTTCTGGTTGTTCCTTGCTTGACTGACTCCTTGAGTGAGACAGTAATCTATGCTTTCTTCCCAATTTCTCTTTCGTCATCCAATGAAAATAGTTTTCCTCCATCACTGGTAGGTGCTTTGATTTCTCCAGGGAGGTAAAGAGAGCAGCTGACTTACAGATCTCTAGTATTACTGACTACACTCTTTCTATTCAGTATGGATAAGTACCTAAAACTCTGCAAGAATGCATTCCAAAATACTATCATGGTATAGTGGTAGGATAATGGTTTATTCTTAATTTCCCCCTAAATCTCTTTATTTCTATCATCACAGGTCACAAAGACCCTCAGGTCCCACTGGCTCTGAATCTCATGGAATTAGATTAAATTATTAACTACATTCTATTGTTGCAGGCCTTAACCAACTCCTGGGGCATTTGGCTTCACCCTTGCTCTGCTAAAACCTGGATGAATTAAGGTCCCTCTCACACTATTGCTGTTATAAGAATTAGTGATTTTAGTATATAAGTAGATGATTCTTCCAACACCGTGGCCTCCTAGCTCTTTGACCCTCTCTACTCCAATTATCTTGTCTTCCATTCTACCTTGGCCACTCACACCTAGGGTCACACTCTAGACCTTGTCAATGCTAATAACAACAACCCTCTATAGTCTCAATTTCATGCAGCAAGTTATCTGATCACTAGCTCCTATCTTTCTAATTCACCTCCTCTAATATACTGGGTCCTGATTCCTCAATATTCTCAGTAACTCCAATTTATTAATTCTACCACCTTGTCATTCTCCCTCACATCCTTGATGTTCTCTTTCTCTCCTTTCACAGCTTAAATTCTAGGCCAACCATTATAATCCCTCCATTGCATACACTCTCCATTCTCTTGCCCCTCTCTTGTCATTAGGTTTTCTTGGCACAACTAAGTCCTCATTAGATCACATTTAAACACTGGTTAAATCAAATTCTCTGCCTACTCCATGTTTACAGCCGTGCAGCTACTCATGGCAAAAGAAAGATTTCAACATGCTGACTAGTCTTACTTTAAAAATATGATCCCAGACTTCAAGAAGGACTTTAATGCTGGCCAGAAATCCTGCCTATCTACCCAGGCTATTTATTCTCACTGTTTCTTCGATGAGAATTTTATATCCTTTCTGTTTCCTTAAATCTCCCTAATCTCCTGCCCCACCTTCACTCTAGCTGATTGTTTTACTTCCACGGCACTGAGGATATGAGAACATTGAAGCAATCAGTAAAACCTTCCTACGACTGGCACTACCATATCTGCCCACCTATGAGCCTCTGCTCTCATAGACAGCTTCCCCACCTGACACCACAAAATAGCTCTTCCGGTGTAAGTTACTCCCTCTACACGTGTGCTAGATTTCATTCTCTTTCCAGGCCTTTTCTTAACAATGGTGGGGTGTAGGAAAAGGGTGCAAATGTAATATTCCCCCCGACCAAGTATATATGTGTACATCATATGATATATATGTATGTATTCACATACAGTAAAATAGTTGTATTGATATATGTCATATATATTACATGTATATATGTATGTGCCTATATAATAGTGGTGAAGAAGACACAAACATGAATAAGAAAGCAAATTTAAATTGGTTTTTAGTAATGTTTAAAAAGAAGGGATAATTTCTCTACTCCATAGCAAAAGAATAAAACAAACATTTATTGAATGTTTGCTATTTCCCAAGCAGAGGGCTAAGGTCTTATATCATCTCATTTACTATAGAAACAAATGCATAGAAGGAAACTAAGACTTTGAGCAGTTAAATAACTTGCCCCTGATCACACAACTAATAAATGGCCAAATTGATTTTTCTCCCAGGATTGTCTGATTTCAAAGCCCATGTCCTATTCACTGTGCTGTGAGAGAGAAACATCATAATTTCCTGGATGACTGGTCCTAATGAAATTTCTTAAAAATTTTCATTTCAGGACCATGCTTTGTAATGCACAGCTCCCTGGCATTGAATCAGGAGCTGACATGTGGGTCGGTTAGGACCCGGCTCTCTTTGCCCGTTTTGGAGTGCAGCATGGCTGTCTTTTGCTAACAAGCTGCCTGGACGGGCCCCGGAGGTAGAAGTATTTCAGTTGTGGGTGAGCTGATTCCTAGATGTATGCTTTCTAATCCATTTATAAAGTGCTCTGGGATTCCTCTGGATGAAATGTGTCCTATAAATGTAATTTGTAGTTTTATTTGTCCTACAGTTTACAGCTGCCTGGTGATTTAATTCTCACTGCACTGTATTTTTAAAAGTATATTTAAAAGCATCTTTTACCAGTGGAAGACTTTCTAAATTGCTCTTTCAGAAGTTTCCAAAACAAAAGGTAACTTCTACAGAAAATTTCACAAATAACTATTTCTTATCTCTGGCCTTATTTGTGCTCAGTGCTTTAAACTTCTTAGCCATCCCTCTCTCTTCCCAATTGCTATGCTGTGAAACAAACTTTCAGCTCAATGTAAGGTAGAGGGCCTCATTCTAAATTCCTAATTCCACAATTTAAAAACGCTAATGTTTTCTTCAGTAAGAAGAGTGGCAAAAATATATTGTGAATGTATTTATTTTCTGAAAGCATGGAAAGAAATAAATTTGGTCTCTTTCCCGTAGGGGACTGCAACTTAAGATGCAAGGCAGGGTAGTAGAAAAATTGCACCTATCATGTTAGCATCAGGAGATCTGGTCTTTAGCTCTACTCCTGTAACTGCATACAGTTTTATAGTCCTGAGCAAATCACGTCAGTATTCTGAGACACCATCAATATCGTGAAATAAGACAGGAGCAAGCACAGTTTTCTCATATGTACAATGAGAGTGTTGGACATTTCATGACTTTATGAAGCTTATAAACTGACATTAAGATTTGTAGACAATCAGGTAATGCTACGATGCACTTAGATGGATATTATTATACAGTTCATTGACTGAAACATTCCTCATTTATGTGTGTGTATGTGCATATGTGTGCACAGATTTTAGGGTTAAAGAGGGCTTTATATGTCTTTCAACCCCTCATCTAATGCTGAAACATTCTCCCCAATAACCCCAGCCGATGGAGATCCAACCTAGTTTAGCTTGGCCTTCCATTTTAGGCCAGCCCTTTTCTTAAATTTTCCCTATTTTTGACATAGGTTTTCCATAATCTGAAAGTTTCTCAATCAATCACTATTGTCCTTGGTAGGCGACATCAGCACAAGAGAGAGATTGTGGAGCCACAAAATGAGTTCCTTGGATTTCATTTTTAAGGGTAATTTCTTTTTCTGAAAGTGCTTTAAATTTTACCTAGAATCCTTAAATTGTAATGAACTGATGAAATTGAAAATCGAAACGATATTGTCACCAGCTCTTCCTGTGTTTTCTATTACATTTGGCTCTTTGCACTAAATATTTTTGAAATTAATGTTCAGGTATCATTTATTAGATTTATTTTCGATCTCCCTTGAAGAAATTAACAGCCCTTCTATAAATAACAGCAATTTAAAAGCGGGCAAAGGGGACATCAGAGAATATAGTTGTATAATACATTTTTGAATGAATGAATGATCTCAGTTGTAGACATGAAATTGGCAGGTTAACTTAGAAATGGGGGCAGAAAATCATTGAGGTAGAGGATTTCATCTTCCCAAGTGCAGTGTCTCACTGGGAGGCATCCCTAATTCTTTCCAAAATTGAAGAATTATCCAAAATACTTCTCATTTATCTTAATAATAGACCCAGTATAATTCATCTGCCCCATTCTTTGGGGGTTTCACTGTGTTCTTAGATGTGAATAATATGAAGGTCTTTATCATAAATAAAAGATAGAAACATCACTTTATTGAGACCCAGGATGGATTTCTTTGTATTTAGTATTTGACTGCACAATATCTAAAGTAGAGTGAAATAAAGGCACCTGACTTATAAGGAAGGTTTAAAAGGCACATATAGGTCTATTTAGCAAAGTAAATGAAAAGTACATCTGCATTTGAATATTGCTCACAAAGAAGAAAGAAGGATAAATTAGTTATTTCATTATAACTAATTGTTATTAGTTATAGGCCCAATTGTTATTAGTTAAGGCCCAGGAAGATCTAGGGGCCATTCATGGGCATATAGGTGAGTCAAGAAGTTGGGATGCAGTTTCCTTTGTTCATTCACTAACTCAAAAAATATTTATTTTACAATCTCCCTATGTGTCAGTCTAGGTACAATTACTAGGTATAGGAAATACAGTTTTGAGCAAAAGCATATAAGGTTCAAACTTTCATAGATTTGACATGGAAAGACACTATTCAGACAGTCATGCTAATCAATATAACAAACTGATACAGGTTCTGAGAAAGAAAGAATGAATCATAGTCCTAGGTTCAGGATAATCAGATGTGCACACAGCGACTTTCCAAATGTGACCCAATCAGCCAGTCTGGGAATTCCAGGTTGACACATTCTTATTCCTCCCTCTTCAGACAAAGGCCACAGAAATTGGATCAAGCAATTTGAATCAAGCACCACTGTTTAGCTTTCCAATGTCCTCACTCCAGAACTACAGGGAGAGGGTATACTAACATGCCTCAGTCAGCCTCCAGGGTGAGGCAAAGTTGTGGCTAAGTGAACACTTCCTCCACTCTACTAGGAACCCAGAGGTCCAGTGAGGTGTTGGAGCCCACTCCTGAAGGTTCCCAAGAGCTGATTATGCACATCATGTCCCATGTTCAATGGCATCAAGTTGGTACCCTGAAATCAGACACGCAGGGAGAATTTAAACTCCAAAAACAATAAACACTACAAATCAAACAATAAACACTGCATCTGGGATTGTCTGACCTGGTTTGGATTAAAGGAAGTAATTGATGTTATACCATTGAAAAATAGTTTTGCCCTCCAGAGAGCTGTTTTACCACCCACCACTGCAGGGTTCCCAAAATCTTATAAGTGTCTTAGGGTTCTACAAGAAGGAATATCATCTATGAGGTGTAGACAGGTTGATTAATACAACAGGTCTATAGGTAGCATTTCTACTTATGGAATAGGGAAGCCTGTCCTGGCCAACCAATTTTGAGTGCTAGATATACCAACACAGTGTTTGAAAATGAACTCAGTGCCCTTCAAAGCAGTCCTTTCCAAGTCTTCTGACCTCATACTTCCTGGGTGAAGACTGAATTAGGAAGACTATGAGATGGCAATGGATTCTGTCATCTATAATGGAAATTATAGGGCACTGGAAACACAAAACTCCCACATACATGTCAAAACAAGCAGGATAAGTCCTTAGCAAAACAACCTTATAAGGGCAGGTCTCCATCTCATAGACTTTTTAAATTTCTTTTTTGCAGATGATGTCTCACTATGTTGCCCAGGCTGGAGTGCAGTAGCTGGTCACAGGCATGATCACCCTGCACTTCAAACTCAAACTCTTGAGCTTAAACTATCCTCCTGCCTCAGCTTCTCCAGCAGCTGGGACCATAGGTGCATATCACCACACCCAGCTCGATTTCTACTTTTGATAAAAATTGTGGAAGGGCTTGCTCAACCATCAATCCACCCCCCTATTTGTGAGATTGGAAAGCTGAAATCTGTATATCCCAGACTTCCTTGCAACTTAGATTATGTACGTTAATTAGATTCTGCCCATGAAATGGACTAGTTTCAGTTTTGGAAGTTTTAACAGAGGCAGAGTTTGTGGAAAAGTGAGATTTTCCTGAAGCAATGCTCCAATGTCCAATATATATCTCTCTCTCTTTTTTTTATTTTTTGGTATTAAGATTCAAAGCTTGTATCAGAACCTCAGGGTTGTTCTTAAACTCAGCTCTAGTAATGGCCTCCAGTGAAATAGACTCTTGTGAGTCAGTCCTATATATGTCTGGAAATCATTCCTACAGACTAAGCCTAGAGCATTCTGGCTAAGCCCTTCCGATGATTTTTTTAAATTGTTTAATTATCTGTGTCAAGATTTTTCTTCTGAATATAACTAGAGTGGTTTCTGCTTTCAACACTGATAAGATATTTGGAGCAAGAAGTTAACACTTAGGAGTAAGCATCTGGGATTATCTGACCTGGTTTGGATTAAAGGAAGTAAGGATGTAGTACCATTAAAAAAATGGGATACACAAAATAGATGAGGTACACATGACCAAATAAAGTTACTTAAATTATTGTCCACTGTCACCTGGAATAAATGCTAGGCTTTGTTAGAACAGCAGGTTGCTAAAGCAGGCTTGTTTGAGGACAAAGAGGAATACAAAGTGTAAATTGGTCTGAAAACTTGTGATTGCAATCTATATCGGAGGAGGAGAGGAAGGAAAGAAGGAAGGAATGGAAAAGGAAGTAAGGAAGAAAGAAAAGAAGGAAGGGAGGGAAGGAAGGAATGAGTGATAGGAAGGAGGGGAGAGGGGGAATGAAGAAGGGAGGGAAAGATGGAGGGAGAAAAAGAGGAAAATAATTAAATCAAGGTTTTAAATTCTTAGCTTCAGGAATTGATAAGGACCAGGAGACTTTGTGACTACCCTAAAATGATGTCTTATCAGGATGATGTAGCTAAAAATCAAAGGCAAAGTCTGATCGTGTAGGCTGCTGAAACAGCTCTCCTATGTAATTTAGGGCATTTTTTTAGATACAGGTGGGAATCCATAGACAGATTCTAAAGAATCTGAGTTATCTGGCCCTCCAAATCTATGGTCCTCCCATGTTAGCAGTAGCAACTCCTCTTCCTTGTCTTATGAGGCTGAGTCTACTCTGTTTGTAGATCCTATAAGTCCTCACTTGGGGTAGTTTCCTTGCCAAAAAAAAAAAAAAAAACAACTTTTCTTGTGACCCCACCCTCAACGTTATTGCTTTTTGACTTACAATCAGACCCCAGCATGCCCAGGGGGTCCCAAAGAAAGTCTTCAATGGTATGGGATAGCTTTACAGCAAAAATTTTCAAGATTTTGCCAATTTCCTTGCAACAACATGAGGTTCTAAATTAGGGAAAAAGAACCAAAAATATTAGATTAGGTGAAATTTATAATGTGCCTGCATTTTCCAGAGATTTGTAAATCAGTGGGTGAGCTCAAGCATTTGAGAGTGCTTCTGACTCAAGGTTGTCTCATATGGAATGATGTAAGCATTCAAGGAAGGTTTTGGTATACTGTAGTAAGAGGAATACAAAGATTTAGGAAGGTAGGAATGATGGAATTGATTTATTTTCTATCTTACCCATTCAGCCTGTAATTATGTCTGTTATGGGACCTAGAGAACACACTCTTCACCAAATCACTCAGAAATGCAAAGTGAGAGATACTCTAGATTATCATAAAGCTCTGTAGACACTCTTCCCTGCAGGCCAGCATTAAAGTGGGAAATGCTGCCATAAAAATGGTCTGACTTATTTCGTTGAGTTAATGTATCTTAGAAATACGACTGTAATAGTTCCATGTGTCAAGTTGGCTAGGGTTTAGTACCCTGTTATTTAATTAAACACTGATCTTGGTGTTGCTGTGAAGGTATTTTGTAGACGGGTTAACAGCCAATATTATTTGACTTTAAGGGAAGGAGATTATCCTTTGAAATCTGGGTGAGCTTCATCCAAAGCCTTAAAAACATAATTAAGATGTCCCCGAGGAAGAAGAAATTCCACCTGTGGAGGGCAAAGTTGGCTCCTGCCTGAGAATTTCCAGCCAGCAGTCCTGCTCTACAGATTTCAGACTGGCCAGCAACCACAATCACATAAGTCAATTCTTTGAAATCTCTCTGTCTCTCCTGCCCCCTCTTTCTGCTGTAGTAGAAATCAAGTCCAGAGTGATAATCAAAATGCTTTTATAATTAGAAATCACTGGCAATGGATTAAAATAAGTGGGCAGAAGATTTTTGCCCTACAGATTTATGTAAAATTAAGACAAAAACAAAAAACTATAGGTTTGGCCTGTGTACACCTCACTTGAATTGCTATCACTACAATGATTAGCACTTCTTCCCACTTTCCAGACCTGTAGCAATTCCAGACCACTATTTCTACAGACATTTGAATGAAGAGATAATATGTCCCCTTGACATTGCCACACGTATGTAATATGAAGTTTCTTTGTGGTCTTTCCCAAATTGTCCTGCAGCTATTTGCCAAAGTTACTGTCAACTAGGAAAGGGCAATAGTCAGGCCCTGGGAAGCCAGAACACCATCACTAGACAAGTCAAACCAGGGGCTTAGGGCATAGGGTCAGGAGATAAATGGAACAGCCTAAGTCCATGTCAGAATAGGCCTCATGAGTTTGCAAGTACACCCTGAGATTATTTCCCTTGTTTCTGAATGCATAGTTGGTGTACACATAAACTATACTCAGCAGAATCCTAATAAATGCTCCCTGACCAATGAAGTAAAGGTTATTAAAAGAAAAGGGGCATATTTGAAGCCCCTAAAACAATTGTTCTTCTCAGATCCAATACTGAATTTTTGGGGAAATTGCAGAAATGAGTACCAATGTCAAAGTTTTGAAAAGATACAGGGGTGATGTTATGGTTTAAATTGTGTCTTCCAAAAGACATATGCTGATGTCCTAAGCCCCAGTATGGGACTTTATTTGGAAATAGGGTCATTGCCGGTGTAATTAGTTAAATTATGATGAGGTCATACTAGGGTACAGCGGGCTCTTAATTCAATATGATTAGTGTTCCTATAAGAAGAGGAGAGAGACAAAGAGAGAAGAATGTTAAGACACAGAGGTGTGCATAGAGGAAGAATGCCATGTGATGTGATAAGCAGAGATTGAGGTGGTGCACCTGCAACCAAGGAAAGCCAAGAATTCACGGCCACCACCAGAAGCTAGGAAGAGGCAAGG
This sequence comes from Homo sapiens, assembly GCF_000001405.40. Lineage (NCBI taxonomy): Eukaryota > Metazoa > Chordata > Mammalia > Primates > Hominidae > Homo > Homo sapiens. Next base: position 105,628,185 of record NC_000003.12, on the reverse strand, counting down.
AATCTTCTCTCCTACAGGTTTCAGAGAAAGAATGGCCCTGCCAACACATTTATTTTGGACTTCTAGCCTCAAAAACTCTAAGACAATAAATTTCCAGTTTTAGACAAGTTTGGGGGTATTTGGTTACAGCAGCCCTAGGAAACTAAGACAGCCGCTATTCTTTCACATCTTCATTTAACTTTTCTGTTTTACCACTGAAAACAATAGATAGTTCTTGGAGAATGATATTGGAATATCTTAACAGGTCAGGTAGTCACCTGAATTGGAACTGCTTTGCCAAACACGGACACTTTACTGGAGTGAATCAGCAAAGCATTTTAGCAAACTGATATGAAACTATTGAGATAAAAATTGATTTTTAAGTACCAATAAGCCAGGATTATCAGAATCAATTTTCTTTTATGTGAAAGAGTCAACAGTATTTTTTCACAATCTTATTCATGTCTATGTTAACTTTCTGATTCTCTATAATGAATTAGTCAACAGGGATGTTGATCATGGTATATTTCCACAGCACATTACCTTTGCCTACAACATTGAAACATCAGACTTATTGTACCTGGTGAGTATAATACACAAAATATCTTGGGAAGAAAAACACATGCAAATTAATGATGGATAAACCCCAAGAAAATTCTAGAGCATGCCAGTTCATTGAAATTTCTGGCTGCCCAGTTTTCTGGGGCATGTCCCAGTTGTAGTCTCCAAGGAATGACAATTCCTGTATCTTGTACTACCAACCACAGAGAATGGTTAAACATTTAGTGAGCATCATTGATTTGGGATGTAACATAAATCATATTTGTGTATGCTGCTCTGACTAGTTACCAAGTAACCTGTACAACTTTATATATGGCCTGGAGAAAGCTCCTTAGCTTTCCCGGTTTGCATTCCAAATACCGTATCACTTGAACCTTAACACCAGCTTATCCAATGGTGCTTCAGTTTTTTTGTGAGATATTAGAATGTTGAGTGAGGCCTGCCAAAACCTTTATGTGAGTATTTCAGAGTTTTCAGCAATAAAATGCACTCTTCAGTAGTTACTTTCCATTTGAGTTACAGCTCTGGATTGTTCCTTGTCCTGGTGGAGACTAAACATGTTGGTCAACCTAAGACAAGTGACCAGGAACTGAAAATACTCGTCTTACGCGGAGTGTTCTCTATTCCACTAAGCCATATCTGGGCATGTGCAGCAGCAGCTCATTATGCAATGGAAGTGGTATATTGGAGATAAGGCTTGAGCAGCTCCTAAAGGCACATGAAATTTGCATAACCAAGTGATTGACACACACGCTTAAACCGGATGCACTACCCTTCTTGCTCTCATCCCACACTTTTGGTTTCATAAGAAAGTTTCCTATGACAAGTTGACTGAAGAATAAAACTTGGGAGCCTGATTTACCAATGCCTTCCTAGGCTATTTGGAAGATTTGCCCCTTTCTAGAAATAAATCAGTATTTCTCCTGGCAGAGTTGTCTTAAAGATAGAAATTGTTTATATTTGAAATATGCCAGAATCCCTTCTCATAACTCTATTTTGGATCATAAAACACACACATAAATTATCTCGTAATTAATTTCTGCTTTACCGATATTATTTTGGTTTGATTTGTTTCTGTAATTAAAGATGGGTAGCTGAAGTCCTGGTGCTTGACTTTGACAAATTCACCAATCAGCCACAAGGCTGAAGGAGTCAGAGACAAGGGGAGAACACAAAGCTTGCAATAAGGCCGGGCGCGGTGGCTCACGCCTGTAATCCCAGAACTTTGGGAGGCTGAGGCGGGGGATCACCTGAGGCCAGGAGTTTGAGGACAGCCTGGCCAACATGGTGAAACCCCATTCTACTAAAAATACAAAAATTAGCCAGGCATGGTGGCACATGCCTGTAATCCCAGCTACTTGGGAGGCTGAGGCGGGAGAATCATTGAACCCAGGAGGCGGAGTGCAGTGAGTGGAGATCGCACCACTGCACTCCAGCCTGACAGGCAGAGTGAGACTCCGTCCCAAAAAAAAAACAAAAAAGCTTGGAGTGAAACTTTAAAAACAAACACAATGTGAAATGAACCCATTAGTGGAAAATAGAGAGACATGCACAAGTGAAGGTAAATGCCACAGATGTTCTAAGCACATAAGATCAGAGTGGCAGATTTGCAGTTGTCTTGAGAGTACAATAAAGGGAGGTTCATGGCAGGTGAGGTAGTGTTGATTAAAAAAAAAAGTATAAACAGAACTTTCAGGAAGATTTTTCTCTTTTTCTTTATTATACCTTAAGTTTTAGGGTACATGTGCACAACGTGCAGGTTAGTGACATATGTATACATGTGCCATGTTGGTGTGCTGCACCCAGTAACTCGTCATTTAACATTAGGTATATCTCCTAATGCTATCCCTCCCCCCTCCCCCCACCCCACAACAGGCCCCGGTGTGTGATGTTCCCCTTCCTGTGTCCATGTGTTCTCATTGTTCAATTCCCACCTATGAGTGAGAAAATGCGGTGTCTGGTTTTTTGTCCTTGCGATAGTTTGCTGAGAATGATGGTTTCCAGCTTCATCCATGTCCCTATAAAAGACATGAACTCATCCTTTTTTATGGCTGCATAGTATTCCATGGTGTATATGTGCCACATTTTCTTAATCCAGTCTATCATTGTTGGACATTTGGGTTGGTTCCAAGTCTTTGCTATTGTGAATAGTGCCGCGATAAACATACGTGTGCATGTGTCTTTATAGCAGCATGATTTATGATCCTTTGGGTATATACCCAGTAATGGGATGGTTGGGTCTAATAGTATTTCTAGTTCTAGATCCCTGAGGAATCGCCACACTGACTTCCACAATGGTTGAACTAGTTTACAGTCCCACCAACAGTGTAAAAGTGTTCCTATTTCTCTACATCCTCTCCAGCACCTGTTGTTTCCTGCCTTTTTAATGATTGCCATTCTAACTGGTGTGAGATGGTATCTCATTTTGGTTTTGATTTGCATTTCTCTGATGGCCAGTGATGATGAGCATTTTTTCATGTGTTTTTTGGCTGCATAAATGTCTTCTTTTGGGAAGTGTCTGTTCATATCCTTTGCCCACTTTTTGATGGGGTTGTTTGTATTTTTCTTGTAAATTTGAGTTCATTGTAGATTCTGGATATTAGCCCTTTGTCAGATGAGTAGATTGCAAAAATTTTCTCCCATTCTGTAGGTTGCCTGTTCACTCTGATGGTAGTTTCTTTTGCTGTGCAGAAGCTCTTTAGTTTAATTAGATCCCATTTGTCAATTTTGGCTTTTGTTGCCATTGCTTTTGGTGTTTTAGATATGAAGTCCTTGCCCATGCCTATGTCCTGAATGGTATTGCCTAGGTTTTCCAGGCAGACTAGTGTTTGAAATTTCAGATTAGGTTGGATGTTATTGATTATGCTTTCACTGATAAAGACATTATATCCAGAAGTGTTCAAACTTTCCTAAAGGAACCTTTAAACATTTTTTTAAATCAAATATTTTCTGGAATTCCAATATTTAAAATATATGAAAGCAGAGACATTCTAATTAAATGGAAGAGATGGTGGAAGCTGAGACCTTTCTTGTCTTGGCCTCCTCCCTACCTTGAAGCTGTTACTGGTTTGAAAACCATCACTGTTTAGCCAAGATTTTATTAAGAACAAGATAATTCCTACTATTTTTAAAAATATTGTTTTCAAATAAAGGACAACCTAAGTTTTCCCCAAAATGCATTTGAAAGCAGTAAAAATGGTAGTTATAAATTACTCTCCTATAGCTTTGACTACTTTCTTAGTTATAAGTCTCCTCACTCATTTTTTGCAATCTCATTGTGACTCTAGAAGCACAGAGTACTATCATTGCTTGAAATAGGGAAAAACATGTTTATTTACCAATTGTATTTGGGTTCCATGGGGATCTAATAGTTTTATCCAACACCTACCTTGAATCAGGACTCAACATTTTGATTAAACCTATAGTAGTTTCTAAGGCTTTGTGGGAATGTGATTTGATTTGAAAGATGCTCTGAAGATTTTGTAGGAAAAAAAGAGGAGAAGGTTGCATCTGCATGCTACACAAAATTACTTAACATAGGCAGGCACAGGTGGTTCCCTCCTGTAATCTCAGCACTTTGGGTAGCCAAGGCAAGAGGATCACTTGAGTTCATGAAGTCAAGGCTGCAATGAGCCATGGTTGCACTACTGCACTCCAGCCTAGGAGACAGAGAGAGATTCGGTCTCATATATATATGTGTATATATATATGTATATATGTGTGTGTATATATATGTATATATGTGTGTATATATGTATATATATGTGTATGTATGTATATATGTGTGTATATATGTGTATATATGTATTTATGTGTGTATATATGTGTATATATGTATATATGTGTGTATATATGTGTATATATGTATATACGTGTATATATGTATATACGTGTATATGTGTATATATGTATATATGTGTATGTATGTATATATGTGTATGTATATATGTGTATGTATGTATATATGTGTATACATATGTATATATGTGTATATATATGTGTACATATGTATATATGGGTATATATATGTATACATGTGTGTATATATGTATATATATGTGTGTATATATGTGTATATATGTATATATGGGTATATATATGTATATATGTGTGTATATATGTATATATATGTGTGTGTGTATATATATGTATATATATGTGTGTGTGTATATATATAATTTCCAATTAGACACTTCAATTTTACCCCCAAAGTTCTAATTGATCTACAGTCACATCATTTCCCTTCCACTCTTCCAGCATCCAACTCTTCCAGCTCTCTTGGCTTTGGTATTTTTCATTATTTGACCATCAACTTTTGCTATGTCTCTCCCTTTTCACTTCTCCCTAGGTCCAGGGCTATTTAGCACTCATTCCCAGCCTCACCATTTGCTCAGCAAAGAATACAGCTTTTGTATATGCCATTCTTGTAAGAAATCAGTAAATAACTGATTATATTTCCCTACTGTCATTTTTTCTACCATATTTTTAACTTACTTAGCTTCACATGACTGGTGGAGCAAATCTTCATTGACATCCAGTTATTTTTTTAAGTGTCTTCATTATAAGTATATAGTTTATAGCCCTACCTCTACGTGTGGCCTTTTCATGACAGAATATGACAAACTTTCTAATATTGTATAGACTAGTTGGGAAAGGCTAGATTATGTTGCAGTAATAAAAAAATCAATGATCTCAGTGACAAAAAACATCAAAATTTATTTCTTGCCCCTTCTATGTGTCTATAATTGGTCAGCTGGAATTTTGTGCTTTTTTTACCACCATCTAGAACCTATCTGATGAAGTAACCACCATTTCAAACAGTGCTGGTCACAATGGCAGAGGAAAAAGCTCTAGAGAGCTGGCAGTAGTAACTGAATGCTTAGGCTCAAAAATGACATATATAAGCCTAGCGTGGTGGCACACGCCTGTAGTCTCAGCTACTCAGGAGGCTGAGGCAGGAGGATGGCTTGAGCTCTGGAGGTCAAGGCTGCAGTGAGCTACGATCACATCACTGCACTCCTGCCTGGGCAAGAAAAGGAGATCCCTCTGTTTATTTTTAATTAAAAAAAAGAAAAAGTAAAAGTGACATATATATTCTATTCATACCTTATCACCCATCCATAAAGGGATCCCAAAGTGCTCAGAAGGTAGAAAGCCAGAAACATAAATATTACAGCAATCACTACACTGTGTTAATAACCTTTACATCTACTTCTTATTTCTTTTCCCCACTAAATGCAGAAGTGCCAGTCTAAGGCTTTGGCACTATTTGCCCCTTGTTTACTAATTTTATTTTTTGCAAGCATGTGTTGCACAAACAGCTCTTTTTACTCTGCCTTCTATATTACTTCCCTTTAATCTCCAGTTTCCTTTTTCTAAAAATTATCCCCCAAATATTTTATCTGTGCTATAGAGGAGCCCAAAGTTGAAATGTGAAACTTTTCCAAATTGATTCTAAAATGTGACTTAGAAGTTTTCTGCATAGAAATTTTCAGAAAATAATCAGCAGACTCTCAGTCTCTTCCACTCAATTATTCTAAGAAATGCTACTGTCTAGCCAGATATTGATTTGTGGTGGAGAGAAACCAAAATTAATTTTTGTTACTTGCAATATTTAGTTTATTTGTAAGGAGAGTAGAAGTAATTTACAACTGGATTATAGTTGATTACAAAACAAAAAAATTTTTCCCTTGTATTTAATTTAGAGGTGATTGGTAGCTGGTGTCATCATTTATTTATTATTTATACTAGAGCACCCAATACAGCTCCACACATAGTAACTGGTCCATAATTATCAATTAAGTTGTATGATGAGACACAGGTTGATTTCTTTGTCAGAATTTCTAAGCAGACCAGCGGAAACAAGAATTAAACTATTTTTTGTAAAGGCCCCACACACCCCCAAATTTACAATTATTAGTACTTTAAAGTGTATAACATACTTTTCATATGTAGCTTTACATTTCCTTCTCAGAGCAACATTATACATACACATTATTTTCTCAAATTTTAAAACGATGAAACAGATTCCCAGAAAGATTAAAATCACTTTGCCCATTGTAAGTGATAACAGTTTTCAGGGAAACTGGCAACAGGAACTCATATTTTCTGAACATAAATCCAGTATTTTTAAAATTAATAACCTATTGTAATTCTGGAAGCCAGGTATATTAGTTAGAATTAGGTTCAACTGCATGTAACAACAACAGCAACAGGATAGAAGTCGCCTTTTACTTACGCCCGTATTCTGAGCTGGGCAGCACTGAGCTGCTCTGGTGACACTATGGCGCTATCAGGGACCAAGCTCCTACCTTTGTGCCTCACCATCTTAGTGCATGGCTGCCATTCTCAATATCATTTTATGTCCCAAGAGAGCTGCTGCAATTCCAGGGTCTCCCACCATCATCTCCAAGTTGAGAGTTACATGAAGAATTGCAGAACACTGGTAAAAATAAGTCCTCCCCAACTGAGTCAGCTCTTTTTAAGCAACGTTCTCTGAAGATGCCACGGCACTTCCATCTATGTCTCATTTGGTCACAACTTAGTCACATGACCACACCTCCACACTTCACTATAATGGCTGCTGGAAAATCTGGGAAACAATAGTCTTTAATTCTGAGAGGACGTGTGCTCAAGGTAAAACTCAGGGATTTGTCATTAAGAAGGAAGAGAAAATGGATATTGCATAGGAAAATGGCAATCTCAGCCACAGTTGAGTACCTGACTTTAATCTGAATTATTTTTCTCCATCTTCAGCTTCAGGTCAATAATAATTAAACAAGAGAATTGTTATGAAATTGATATACTACATTTCATCAGTCCTGATGTATACCTCTTCACACACACCTCTTAATGATATGTCTTACTATCAACAGAATCAACAAAATTAGTGAACAAAATTTTTATTATCACCATCTGTCAATTGCCTTACCAGCCCCTGATTCTCTGTGCCTTAGATTTTATAGATAAGTCTATAGGTGCTGCCTATATGTGGGCTTGCAAGAACCCTAGGACCTGAGCCACTCCAGACTGAGGTAGGACAGGGTCCTACACCTTGTCCTGCTCTGATATTTATTCATTAACTTACCATTCTTCAGTTTGCTTGATACTTCTAAAATATTTACTAAGGGCCTAAGGCCGGGGCCTTTACTGGGCCCTGAGAGGCACCAGAGAATCATGCCACTGTTGTCATGGATCTTGCATTCTTGTGGGGACAATGCACCACAGAAAATAAACAAATTATATAAAAAAAATACCAGAAGCGATAAGTGTAAGGAAAACTATAGCAAGTTATGAGACAAGAAGCATGTCCATGGGAGGTGGGGGGCCTTTTAGAATCTAGAGTCAAAGAAGGTCTTTGTGATAGGTGACATCTGAGTAGCTACTTAATTGAGAGTGACCCCTGTACCTACATGGAGGAAGGACATTCCTGATAGCATGGAAATTAGTATTAAGCTACTCTCTTATTTCCAAGATCTAATCCAGTGGCCAGTGAGTGAGTTTTCTTTAATTAGGTCACCTTATTACCAACACGATTTTATTTATCCTCCTCTTAGATGTCTACAGATTTCTCTGTAGCCAGGCTCAGTCCACTTGCCAAAATACAATTGCTCTTACTGGGCATTCAAAAGCCACATTTCTAGAACATGAATTTGTCAACTGCTGTCTTTCACTATACTCTCCTGCTACATGTTCCACTTGCCTTATTAGTCTCCCTCTTCCTGTGACTGATTGTGCCCCCAATGGTCTGTCCCTGCCCAAAGTGTCTGCTGAGTTTCTAATAATAAATCTCTTTTTACAGCTGGGCATGGTGGCTCACACCTGTTATCCCAGCACTTAGGGAGGCCAAAGTGGGAGAATCTCGTGAGGCCAGAATTTCTGAATCAGCCTCAGGAAAATAGTGAGACCTCATCTCTACAAAAAATGTAAACATTAGCTGGGTTTGGTGGTGCATGCCTGTATCTCCAGTTACTCAGAAGTCTGAGGCCGAAGGATCACTTGAGCCCAAGAGTTCAAGGCTGCAGTGAGCTATAATGGTTGCCACTGCATTCCAGCCTGGCCAACACAGTGAGGCCCTGTCTCAAAAAAAAAAAAAAAATTGAAATACAAACCTCTTTATACTACTTTTCCAACTCTGATCCCCTGATTCCAGTCCAAGGTTGGCATCTAGGATAAAGGATAGTAGGTATTTCAAGCTTTTTGTGTCTGCACTTTGATAGATAATGGCTTGTGCTTGCCTTGAAGCATTTATTTCCAGAGGCAGAAATCCTCTATTGCAGGGAGTCCACAGTATTCAAAAAATTGTTCAGTATGATTACAGAAATACCGTGGAAATGTCCTTATCATAGGTCTATGTTTATTCTTGAATAAAATGAGATTGATATTTATATAGTTCATATTGATATTTATTGATTTTTAAATTTAGGAATGATGTATTATTTTAAACTCCATGAAGAAATGGATATTCTTTTTTACAGTTTTCTCTGCTACAATACATGCAAAACCCAATTTATCTAATAATCATCCAAAAGTTTTTATCCTCATGATCTGTTCGATAGATTAAGGACAATAGCCTTCTAAACTTCTTGTTTCCAGTTTCTGACGTCTCATCATAAAATACAGACCACTTCATATTTAGTACAGCATTGGTATGTTAGCTTTCACTGGATAACCACCTACCCCAAAACTTAGCGATTTAAAATAACAATCATTTGTTTAGATGAGAGAATCTTGGGTCAGCTGGGTGGTTCTTCTGGTCTGAGCCTGCTTTGCTGATTTCTATCAGTCTTTCATGTGTTTAAAGTTGACTGGCAGATCAGTCTGTGGCTGAATAACTCAGGGTGGTCTCATTGGCTGTCAGCCAGGACTACCAGCAATAGTTCGGTCTTGTGCCTCATCATCCAGCATATTAGCCCAGGCTTCTTTGCACAGTGGTGGCAGGGTTCCAAGAGCAGCAAGCACGCAAAGACCCAGTGTCCATTCTTCGTGCTTCCTAGTGAGCCATAGGCCCAAACTAATCAAATGGGGAAGCCTGGCTTCAAGGGGTAGAGAAAGAGATATCGTATGTTGCTGAGGAGAGCTGCAAAGTCACATTAAAAAGAGGTGTGCATGAACACTGATAGGAGTTTTATTCATAATTACCAAAAATTTGAAGCAACCAAGATATTCCTCAATAGATGGATATATAAACAAACTGATACATCCAGGCAATGGAATAGTATTTAACAATAAAAAGAAATGAGCTATCACACCATGAAAAGACATGGAGGACTTTTTTTTTTTTTTTTTTTTGAGATGGAGTCTTACTCTGTCACCCAGGCTGGAGTGTAGTGGCGCAATCTTGGCTTACTGCAACTTCCTCGTCTGGGGTTCAAGAGATTCTTGTGCCTCAGCCTCCCGAGTAGCTGGGATTACAGGCGTATGCCACCACGACTGGCTAATTTTTGTATTTTTAGTAGAGACAGGGTTTTACCATTCTGGCAAGGCTGATCTCAAATGCCTGGCCTCAAGTAATCCCACTGCCTCGGCCTCCCAAAGTGCTGGGATTTTAGGCGTGAGCCACTGTGCCCGGTCGACGTGGAAGACTCTTAAATGCATTTCACTAAGTAAAATAAGCCAATCTGAAAAGGCCTCATATGTTGTGTGATTTCGACTATATCAGATTCTTTTTTTTTTTTTTTTTTTGAGACAGAGTCTCGCTCCGTTGCCAGGCTGGAGTGCAATGGCGCAATCTCGGCTCACTGCAATCTCTGCCTCCCAGGTTCAAGCGATTCTCCTGCCTCAGCCTCCCAGATAGCTGGGATTACAGGCGCACCACCACACCCGGTTAATTTTTTTGTATATTTAGTAGAGACGGGGTTTCACCATGTTGGCCAGGATGGTCTTGATCTCCTGACCTCATGATCCGCCCGCCTTGGCCTCCCAAAGTGCTGGAATTACAGGCATGAGCCACTGCACCAGGCCGATTATGTCACATTCTTGAAAAGACAAAACTATAAGACAGTAAAAGATGAACGAAGGCCAGTGGTTTGAGGGAAGGAGGGAGGGATGAATAGGTGAAACACAGGGAATTTTTAGGGCAGTGAAACTGTTCCTTATGATACTTTGATGTTGGACACATGATATTATACATTTATCAACACCCATAGGATGTATGACACAGCATGAGCCTTAATGCAAACTATGGAGTATAGTTAGTAATAATGTGCCAATATTGGTTCATGAGTTGTGATAATTGTATGACACTAATACAAAATCATAATAGGAGAAACCATGTGTTTTCAGAGTGTAGGGGGAGGAGAAGGAGTACCTGATAAATCTCTGTACTTTCTGCACAATTTTTTATAAATCTAAAATGTTTTTAGAAAAAATAAAGTCTATTTGAAAAGGGGATGGGGAGGTTGTGTGTATAAAGGGATGAGAATAATTTCTGACTGCTTTTGCATTCTATCACAGCACCTAAAATCATTCAAAGTTTACCAAACCTCATTCTCCAGATTCATCTCCTAGTCACGTCTCCTTGCCACTTGGTCCAGAGACCTAGAAACCCCAACCCATTCCCTGAATACAGTTGAATTTCTATGCCCTGTTGTGTCTTATTCCCTTAGCTGGGAGACTTCAACATCTGCTTTTTCATATATTAAAGTTCTTTTCATTTCTTCTCCAGACTCCATCACTTTTTCCATGAATCCTGTCGGCACCCTGTAGTCTAAAATAATTCCTTCTCCCTCTGCATTCTGACAACGTCCTACCAGTGCTGTATTATTTATCCTGGCTGGCCTTTTATTATACTCAGTTTTCACGTCTGTTTCTATCTATTCTCCTTGAGGGCCAGTCCCTTGTCTTAATTTTGATTCAACTATAATGCTGAGCACAGTGCAAGACACATAATTGGAACTGACTGAATGTTGATTGGAATTAGCAATTAAATTTAGAAACGATGTGGTAACAACCATGGAAGTCTTGAATTTTGCCTTAGGCAAAAAGTCTAAGTAGTTTGGATTTTCTTATCTGTCTTCACTGCTAATGACCCAAATGGCATTTTATTTGTAAACTATAAAGAACATTGTGGAAGAAGTTGTTAACTTACACAAATGATAACAACAGTATATGGTTTCATGTAAAGTACGTGGTAGAAAAGGGAATCAGATCTATTGCCTGTAAAGACTATCATATTTCACTTATGGCTTGTGGTAAAGGAAAAATACATATAAATTATTAGCTATTAGAACCAGCAGATTTCCACTGCAGTTGACATTGCTAATATTATACACATTGCACTAGGCATAGTTTCATATGAATGAATTTAGTGATCAATACAGTACCACTTGGGTGTACATTTTTCTTTATTACCATGACAATTGAAAACAGTGGGGATTTCAGTTTCTAATTTTAATTAATAACTCAATGGCCTTTCCCCCAGTATTGAGCTCTAATGGCCCAAGGTCTGCTCACTTTTTCAACATCATTTCTGTGCAATTGAAATAAGATGATCAATTAGTCTTTTAAGCACAGCATCTGTGTTTTGAGGGCAAATTGAGAATGAAAGTAAAAATCAATCGCCTGGATGAGTCTCAGAGGGGCACTGGGTTTTTCCCTTCAGGAACGTTCCCATCTCTGAGCACAAGGCAACTGCCAGAGTTAGGGCAAAAGTGACAGATATGTGTAAGTTCAGTATAGGACCTGCGGTAGAGTTTTCAACTGGTAACAATGGACATAACTGAATGCAAATCTAATGCTAAATTAGTTGAGAAATACACAGTGACCTAAGGAGAGTGATATCTAATTAGTGTTACACACCTGAAAGAGAAAGAAAGCCAGGACCCTAACTGTTTAATACATACAGGATGTAATACTGTCACTATGGGGGATGAGCTGAGCTGTGATAGGAACGGAGGAGAGAGAATCTCCATTGACGGGACTCTCTTTCCTCTTCAAAACTAGGTAATAGCTTCACATATTTCCCTGGGTTTTGTAATATATACTTGTCCATACCAATACTTATAGGGATATCCTGCATGAGTACTGTTTATTTGCAAAATGGCCCTCAAGAATATATGCACTTTAAAGTATATACATAAGACTAATATAACTAAATAATAATCTATAGTAATAAATAAGAAATAGTCTGTAGTAATAAATAATATTCTTAGATTAATGGATGTAGCTCACTATGTAGGAGAAAATGATCAGGACCATGATGCGTGTAGACTCAACTGGCTATCAATGTCCCATATGATGGCTCTACCCAATGGAGTGGAAAAATGCTCAAGCAAGATACGCCAAGTTGAAAAAGATCCATGGCTTCACTGTCATCCCAAATTTTCGTTAAAAATATGCCCTCCTGTTGTTTAGTTTCAAAGATGGAGACCAGAGCTCGTAAGATTTATTTCATCACTATCAACACCAGACGACTGTCCAAGCAGTCATCAGTATTCCTCCTACCTGAAACACACACACACTCTCTCTCTCTTTCTCTCTCTCTCTCTCTAGTCCCAAGGAAAAGAAGGACAAAGTTTTTCACATCTTGAATCAGAGTACAAATATTTACCTCATTTTGTTGTATTGATTATTAAATGAGCCAATCTTTATAAAGTGCCTAGCACATGGAAATCTCACAAAAATGCCTGCTGCTGCTGCTCCTCCTCATCCTAGTCCTTATTATCCTCCTCATCCTTCTTGTCCTTCTCTTTTTACTACTAATACTACTGTGTCTGGCTCCAAAGTATTATATAATTAGATATTAACATTTATGCCTAATGAGTCAGCTATAGTATACTGAAAGGAGCTGATCTTGGAATTAGACCAGCATGGGTTTGAAAGCCACTTACTGACCACAACAAGAGTTTGGCTAACTTACCTAACCTCCCTGAATGTCCATTTCTTTATCTGTAAAATGGGACAGTAATATTTACCTCATAGGATTGCTGTAAGTAATTAATGCAATGTGTCTAGGAAGTAATAGGTGATTAACAAATGTCAATACTTTTGCCATTTCCTTCTAAACCTCCACTATGAGAGTCTTCACTCTAGACAAGAGGATGCCACACTTGAATAAGTGGGCTGTAGCCCCAGACATCATTTCCTCCTCTGAGTGATTGATGGAAACATGTTATCTCTTTCCAAGCAGCAGTTGCTGTTGACTGCCACACAAGTGTTCCCTGGAATGTGCTGTTAGCAGATAGTGATGCTTTATTGCCCACAGTCAGCTGACCATTTCTCTGGAGGAATGAGGAAACCCAAATAAAGTGGGTGAACCAATGCTGTCAGCCAATTCAGAATATGGTCCTAGATGGATACAAATGTAATCACTCCCTGACTACACCATTTCCAGCAATTTTATATGCTTACACAGCCCTGCAAAGTCGAGTCATTATCACTGCATACCCAAAATGTCCTAATTTTTATGTTTATCTTTAAAGCCAATTATATTCTTAAATTTGTTTTGCAGAATTTCTTCCAGGATGTTTTCCAGTCATTCTGGATTTAAGCTATTGCATGGCTTTTAATCTCTTCCCACAATTCCTTCATATTCTATCTCCCACCCAGGTGTTTCATGAGATTGTAAGTGAATACTAATGTGAGTCCTTTACTAGTCCTTCAAAGAGGCAGAATAACCTTGGGAGTATGGGCATGGGTTTTACAGTACATTATGGCCCTTATTGTCATGGGACCTACATCAGTTTAGCCTCAGTTGTCTCAACTGTGAAATGGAGATAGTAAAGCACACTGGTAGAAAGAATTATTGAAGCTTAATTGAATGCGTAATAGAAAATGTCTAGCACATGCTTGATGCTCAATACTTTGCAATACTCAGAAAACTTTTACACATACAGACTTGCTTCATCTGTCTTCTGGATACACCTTCTATTAAAAACTCTTACTCTGAACTTTTTGCACATTTTCCTATTTTTTTAAATTGCTACCTTTTTTTTTAATTGCTAGATTCTGTCCTCAACTAGCTCTGTCATAGAGAAAGGCAAATGGTGAGCAAGCGACAGTGGACACTTCTCCAGTTGTGTCTCTGTGTGTGGTAGTGGGACATGGGAAGAATGGAGCCTCCCTGGGGAGGAAGGGGCCACACTATGTTCCCACCTTGTGTAAGAACGTAGGCAGCTTGACAAACAAGAACGTTTCCTGGCACCCACTGGGCTCAAAGCACCTGATTAGGCCTGGTGAGAGATTACAATGGGATGAGAAGATGGGCCTTCTGCCTGGCTGCTCAGCCAACCAGCTGCTTAGAAGCCTGAGAGAAGCAGGGGAGTCAGGGCTGGCTGGGTGTTGTCACACCACAATGCATTATACTCAAGAGGAGCTAATTTTAAGCTGGCAAGTTGTTCTATCTGTTAGCACAGAAAATATTCATTCCTGGAGTAAAGGAATTGGGAGTTAACCAGATCCAGGGCACCCAGGGGGCCTTGTAAATCACAGAGCTGCTGAGTAACCTGGAAGCTCCATTGAGAACAGCGAGAGCATGTATTCCAGCCACTAAGGAGCACAGAAGCCTTTTGTAAGCCAAGTGAAGGTAGATGCTGTGCAATCAGTCCACAGAGAGGACAAAATCTAGGACAGCGGTTACTATAAAGCCACAGCTAAAGTTCTCCTGTTGTCTTTATTTACTCAGCCCTTCCTTTAAAATTTCCTGATTTGTCACTGTCATTTGTGAATATTGCCTGATCAAAAGGAAGATCTGTTTCTCCAGAGATGGGGCTGGGAATAGATAGGGGAAGCATGTAGCCTGTGGAGGCTGAGCATGTTCTTGGGTACCTCTGTTGTAGAATTATTCCTCTGCCTGGCCAGAGAAGAACTCTGAATAGCAGGCTGTTCCACTTGGAGATAATGTGGAGCATGATTTCCCCTGCTGTCTCAATTATTTCTGAAATGCAAACTTGCAAAGACCAATTCATGTGCTTGTGTTTAGGAAAACCTGAGCCCTCCCAAACAGTCACGGGCTTTGTTCTCCTGGTTTTCTTCTGAGAGTTTCACTCTCCAAAGGATAACTAGATTCTTGTAGAAACTAAATTGAAGCTGGAAGATTAATCCAGGTGGCTTACATGTCAATCACTTTGTAGAAACCTTTGAAGGTGGATGTGTGACAAGCATATCTAATTATTTATAATGACACTTTTATTACTATGGCTCTTTTCTCCTAAGGATTTTCTGATTTCAGAGTACTTTAGAAGGTTATTGCTATTAATCACAGCATATTTATTTAAAAATTGGAGTGAGATGATATGCAAATAAGCAAGCTGAAACTTCTTTTAAAATTATATTTTATATATGTTTCTATTATTACATTTTTATTTGCCAGTACCGAATATTTTCTTTTACAGTTGAATTATATTTATTCTTTCAAAAGCAAATTTCAAAGTTGTAACTTAAAATAGTAATTAAAGACAATCAACATATTCAGTAATGCTTAGAAGCAACTTTAGTTGAAACTGTCTTTGCAAAATTATAACAGTGAGGCAAATCCAAACTGATTTAGATTCTTGCTTCTAACCTGACAAGCTAACTGCATTTGTTAACTTTAAAACAAAGAGGATAACAGTCCCTTCCCAAAACTAACCCCCTCCTTGCTTGGGGACCAAAACCAACTTTGTAAGACTTATAAAAGGCCATGAGGTTAGGGTTATGGGAGGGGCCTGAATTCTGCTAAGATGTATGCATAGTTCAATGATAACCAGCCATTGTTCCCTAGCTTGCCTTTCTATAATTGTTTGCTACATCAGAGGTCATATGATTTGCAACTTCCCCTATTGTTCAGATAGATAACATCACTATTGTCACAACCTAAGATTGGTCTTTGAGATATTTTTCAGACTTTTGCATTCTGGCAACCGACTGACTCTACTCAGACCAGTAAGTCATACCAAGGAACCGGTTCAACCAGTCCTGTAACCCTTATCTAGAAATAGAGTCAGCGTGCCAAAATAATATGAACATTCCTGTAATTTCATCCCCAACCAATTAACAGCACCTATTCCCTAGCCTTCTGCCCACCGAATTATCCTTAAAAACCCTAGTCTCTGAGTTTTCAGGGAGGTGGATTTGAGAAATGTATCCTGTCCTATTGCTTGTCTGGTCCTGCAGTTATTAAACTCTTTCTCTGCTCCAACGCCACTGTCTTAATGAATTGACTTTATCTGTGCAGCAGGCAAGAAGAATCCAGCTGGGTGATTACTTAGTGTAGGAGGAAGAAATCCAGATTTTATACAAAAATATCAGGTTTAGTTTAGATGTACTGGCTAATAAAATATTATTTACCTTTCACAGCCCTGTGTCTTTAAATATAAAACAAGGATGACATATACTTGACTTAATTGTGGTTATAAGGATTGAAAGTGATCAAGTGCATGAAAACTACCAAGTTAAAGAGTTTATAATAATTTTTTTTTCCTGGATAAAGAACATATGGAAACTAATGTTCACAGGATAGCTTCAAACAGAGGTTCATATCTGAGATCTATGGATAAGAATTCAAACATGAACTTCTTCAGGAAGTCCATGAGTTCCCTAAAATGATGTGTAAAACTGTGCACAAGTGTATGTCGACTCTCTGTAGAAACTGAAATCTTAGTAACTTATCCAAAAGAGAGCTTAGGCCAGGCACAATGGTTCACGCCTGTAATCCCAGCACATTGGGAAGCTGAGGTGGGTGGATCACTTGAGGTCAGGAGTTCGAGACCAGCCTGGCCAACATGGTGAAACCCTGTTTCTACTAAAAATAGAAAAATTAACTGGTTGTAGTTCCGGGTGCCTGTAATCTCCGCTACTCAGGAGGCTGAGGCACGAGAATCACTGGAACCCAGGAGATGGAGGTTGCGGTGAGCCGAGATTGTGTCACTGCCCTCCAGCCTGGGTGACAGAGCGAGACTCTGTCTCAAACAAAACAAAACTAAACAAACAGGAGCTTAACAAAAGTATAATGGGAAGCCTGGGTATTGAGAACAGGTGGAACCAGGGCCTGAAATATAGCCAGGTTGCCACTTCAGCCTAGTGGCTTGCTTTCCTCCTTCAGTAGGCATTATTCACAGCTGAACAACTAACATATGCTAGGAAACATAAATTCAGATGATCACATCACTCAAAGGAGTGAGAGACTGAAACTGATTTTCTCATTTCCCAAGTTAAAAGTTCCAGGATAAGACACCACTTGTCATGTCTTGATCAGAACCAATCACTGTGACCAGGAGGCAAGGTATTTAAGATGATAGTGGTGATCAGATGCAAGATATAATTAAATAAGAAAAAAAAAGATTCTCAGAAAGAAAAAGGTGCCTGGGTCTGGTCCTGAGGTGAAAAATTATTTTGTGGGAATTCTTTCTTTGATTTTCAAATGTTTTGACTTATCATAGAAGGACCACATATTTACTGATCTGAGAATTAAAAGAGTGTTCCCTGTTCCATTGTGGCAGATATTTGTTAGAGAAATGCAATGTTTCTGTGATTATGTAAAAAGTATTCATTTACCTCAGTCCTATGATTATAAAATTCATGCAAAGTATTATTTATTAATAACCTTCATACAATCATTAAACAAATTATTAATATTTAACAAATAATATTGTAATTGAATTGTATAAAACTCTAATAAAGCTTTAACAGCTCTTAGTGGGCATCCTAGGCTCTGTAAAGAAGTTTAATATCTGTAAATAGATGTCAATATTAAATAGTAATAAATATTTACTGTATACAAATTTATTTATTATTTATTATTATTTATTTTGAGACAGGGTCTTGCTCTGTCACCCAGGCTGGAGTGCAGTGGCGTGATATCGGCTCACTGCAACCTCTGCCTCCCAGGTTCAAGTGATTCTCCTGCCTTAGCCCCCGAGTAGTTGGGATTACAGACACGTGCCACCATGCCCGGATAATTTTTGTATTTTTAGTAGAGACGGGGTTTCTCATGTTGGCCAGGCTGATCTCGAATTCCTGACCTCAGGTAATCCACCCGCCTGGGCCACCCAAGGTGCTGGGATTACAAGTGTGAGCCACTGCACCTGACCACCATATACAAATTTGAGCTAGACACTGTCAGAAAAACAGTTGACAGCTTGCTGGAAACATCCTTGTAATTTGGGATGGTTAATTTTGTGTGTCAATTTGTCTAGGCTATGGTGCCCTGCTGTTTGGTCATATACCAGTCTCTACGTTTCCTTGAAGGAAATTTTTAGATGTGATTAACTTTTTAAAAATCAATAGACTGAGTAAAGCAGCAGATTAGCTTCCATAAAGTGACTGGGGCCCATCTAACTGTTTGAAAGTCCTAAGAGTAAAGATTGAGGTTTCCTGAACAAGAAGCAATTCTGCCTCAAGACTGCAGCATAGAAACACTGACTGTTTCCAACCTGTGAATTTTAGACTTGAGACTGTAACATCAATTCCTTCCTGAATCTTCAGGATGCTAACCTGCTCTACAAATTTTAGACCTATAACTTACAAGCTACCATAATTGTCATAATTGTAAATGTATACTCATTTTCCCTGAGTATCTTTCATGTACACATGAGATATGTACACATGCACACACACACACACACACACACACAAACGCACACATGCTTTTCTGGTGAACATGATACAGGGTTATTCCCTTGACCTTGATCCTCTTCATAGGCAAGCAACTGGAGTGGCTCATTTTACTTAGTCTGCCACTGGCAACTCCATGTGAGAGGGAGCGTGCGAGCAGGTGAGTGCGGGAACCAGAGCGAATGAGCGCTGGAACCAGCTGGTTGCTCCTCTCTGGCAAGAGCTGCCTCTGTGCAGGCCCCGCAGCAATGTCCAGGCCCCTGCTCTTTCAACACCCAGATTCTTGTCTGGCGTCCAGGAAGAATCAGGTCACAGGAACGGATTGAAGGGAGTGTATGCGGAGGATTTTATTGGGTGATAATTCTCGGCGGGATGGGAGTAAGAAAGGGGATGGTGCGGGGGAAAAGGTAATTTTCCCTGAAGTCGCACCGTCTGAAGTTAGCTCCATCCCTAGTCTCCGACGCTCAGCCGCTTGTATTCCCAACATTCAACAACTTGTATTCCCGCTGTTCAGCAGCTTGTGTTGCTCTGCCAGCTGGAATATTTTGTGGGCACAGGTTAGGGGTGTGGCAGGCCAAAAAGGTAACATTTGGGTAGAAAAATGGGGTCAGCTGTTTTCACTTAGGGCTGTGATTCCAGGCGTAAGGGTGCGGTTAAGCTGGGAACCCAGCTGTTCTGTATCAGACATACACATATATAATATATGGGAAAACAAATAGGACATATATATACATATATATCCATATTTATGTATACATACATACATATGTGTATATATGTGCATATATATACATATGTGTGTATATATGTGCATATATATGTCCTATTGGTTCTGTTTCTGTTTCTCTGGAGAACCGTAATGCAAAATACAGAAAATATAAAAAGTATATAAAATTAAGAAGAAAAAAGCCAACAACTCAAGAAGAAATGAGCAAAAGTTATTAAATTGATTAACATAAAAAGAAATGCAAAATATATTTAATTTTGCTTAAGATAAGAGAAATAACATTAAAACTAAATTAAGATGTGTTTCTCACACATCAGAATGGCAAAAAAAAAAAAAAAAAAAAAAGAAAGAACTGCCCAATCATACTCATTGGTTGTGGGAAAACAGGACTCTCATACATTGCTGGTATAGGAGACCAGAATACGACACTCCAAAATATGCCTTTTAGGCATAAGGATTATTTTGAGCAGATTATATAAAGACACCAAAGACAGAAATGCTCTGAAAAGTGAGGTTACCCTTTTGTAAGGGAAATTTAGATTTATAAGAGAAATCTCCATTTGGAAGGGTGTCTCCTTGTCTGTATCAGTAAGAGAAGGATGATTTAAAATTCAGTAGAGTTTCTTATCAATAAAGAATGCACAGAATTAAATCTGCATAACAAACTTATCCTTGCCTACTGTACTTTTCCTGGTCACCTCCCCATAAACAGCCTCCCCCTTCCTCTTTAATTAGTTTAAGGGGATGATTACATTTTAGTCTGAGCTCAAAAATTGTCTCCTTGAGATTTACTCATTTTCCCCAGTGTAATGGTTAATACTCAGTGTCAACTTGAATGGATTGAAGGATGCAAAGTACTGACCCTGGATGTGTCTGTGAGGGTGTTGCCAAAGGAGATGAACATTTTTAACATTTGAGTCAGTGGGCTGGGAAAGGCAGACCCATCCTTAATGTGGGTGGGCACCATCTCATCAACTGCCAGCATGGCTAGAATATAAAGCAGGCAGAAAAATGTGAAAATGACTAGGCTGGCCTAGCCTCCCAGCCTACATCTTTCTCCCATGCTGGACCCTTCCTGTCCTTGAACATGGAACTCCCAAGTTCTTCAGTTTTGGGACTTGGACTATCTTTCTTTGCTCCTCAGCTTGCAGATGGCCTATTGTGGGAACTTGTGATAGTGTGAGTTAATACTTTATAAACTCTCCTGTATGTGTGTGTGTATATACATATCTACACATACATGTGTGTGTGTATATATATATACACACACACACTTATATACACACACATACATACATATGTATATATATACATATATATATGACCAAACAGCAGGGCACCATAGCCTAGACAAATTGGCACACAAAATTAACCATCCCAAATTACAAGGATGTTTTCAGCAAGCTGTCAACTGTTTTTCTGACAGTGTCTAGCTCAAATTTGTATATGGTGGTCAGGTGCAGTGGCTCATGCTTACAATCCCAGCACTTTGGGTGGCCCAGGCGGGTGGATTACCTGAGGTCAGGAATTTGAGACCAGCCTGGCCAACATCAGAAACCCCGTCTCTACCAAAAATAGAAAAATTATCTGGGTGTGATGGCACATGTCTGTAATCTCAGCTACTTAGGGGGCTGAGGCAGGAGAATCACTTGAACCTGGGAGGCAGAGGTTGCAGTGAGCTGAGATCATGCCACTGCACTCCAGCCTGGGCAACAGAGCGAGACCCTGTCTCAAAAAACAAAAAACAAACAAACAAAAATTTGTATACAGTATTTAAATATTTATTGCTATTTAATATTGACATCTATTTACAGATATTAACCTTCTTTACAGAGTATATATATGTGTGTGTGTGTGTGTGTGTGTGTGTGTGTGTGTACTATTACTTCTGTCCCTCTAGAGAACCCTAACTAAAACAGATTTTGGTATCAGGAGTGGTTCTAGAGGAACACAATATTAAGGATGGAGTTCTTTTGTTGATTTTGAGGTTTCTGGAGTTGGCTGTTTAATGTGATTAGACTAAAAAATGCTGAAGACTCCACTTCTAATAGTATGGAGAACACTGAAAGTCCTTGGTGTTAGCTGTTTAGAGAGTTATGCCAAATAAATGCATTTGACACTCCTGACTCACCACTCTTGAGAGGCAAGGAGTTTAGTGACTCTATCTGTAATACCTTTGTCCATATATAGAGAACCAAGGAACATAATTAAGCTGGCTGGTTGCTTCTCAGTTCAGTGGAAAAAGTGATGGAAGAAAATGGTAAGCTCAGGGATTCTAACTCTTGGCTTCAGAAGCAGATACTAAACCTCAAATCTGCTAAGATTGTCCTGAATGACAGTCTTATCTCCTGTAGAGAAACAGCTGAAATTGTGGAAAAACAGACACAAGCTTTTATCGTGCAAGTGGCTGACTTGCAATGACAAAGGTACATGCACAGCCTCACCAGGTGTCTACTGTTAAAGTGAGGGCATCAGTTGGAAAAGAACGGGACCCTGCAACGTGGAATGGGGATGTATGGGAGGACACTGATGAAGCTGGGGACACTGAGTTTGTAAATTCTGGTGAAACTTTTTTGCCAGGAGTAACAGCTTCCCCATCCCCAGTAGTGGCAACATCCCCTCTACAACCCGACTCATGCTGCCATCAGCCTTTCCACCTTTGTCTGAGGAGATAAACCCTGTGCTGCCTAAGGCAACAGTGATGGCCTCCCCTGAGGCAACTGCCAGGCAAAATAATGTTGACTCTCCTCAGGAGACACCCCCAACACCCCTGTTTGCTTCTAAACCTATAACTAGATTGAAGTCCCAGTGGGCCCTAGAGGTGAGGTTGAGAGTGTGATCCATGAGGAGGTGTGCTACACTCAAAAAGAACTGCTTGAGTTTTCTAATTTATATAAACAGAAATATGGAGAACCGGCATGGGAATGGATATTAAGGGTGTGGGATAATGGTGGAAGGAACATAGAGTTGAATCAGGCTGAATTTATTGATTTGGAACCGCTAAGTAGGGACTCTGCATTTAATGTTGCAGCTCAGGGAGTTAAAAAAGGTTCTAACAGTTCATTTGTTTGGTTAGCTGAAATATGGATTAAAAAATGGACCACTATGAGCAAGCTGGAAATGCCTGATTTCCCTTGATTTAATGTATAGGAAGGGATCAAAAGCCTTAGGGATATTGGGATGGTGAATTGGATTAGTCACTTTAGACCTACTCATCCCAGCTGGGAGGGTCCAGAAGCTATACCCTTGACCAATGCCTTGCAAAATAGATTTGTGAGGGCAGCACCTGTGTCTTTGAAGAGCCTTGTAATTGCTTTTCTCTGAATGTCAGATCTAACAGTTGGAACCATAGTGGCTCAGCTAAAAAATTTAAATACAATGGGAATAGTTGGATCCTGAGGTGGCAGTGGCCAAGTGGCAGCACTCAACCATCAAAGGCAAGGTGAGTGTAGCTACCATAATGGACAGCACAGGCAAAGCAGCAATCAGAGTAGTCTGACTCATGTAGAGCTCTGGCATTGGCTAATTAATCAAGGTGTTCCTAGGAAGCCTCCTGCATTCCTACTTAATTTATATAAGCAGAAAACTTCTAGGGCAAATGGATAGAATAATAATTTGAAACAGAATAAATAAATAAAAACAGAATGGCTGGGTGCGGTGGCTCACGCCTGTAATCCCAGCACTTTGGGAGGCCAAGGAGGGTGGATCACAAGGTCAGGAGATCGAGACAATCCTGGCTAACACGGTGAAACCCTGTCTCTACTAAAAATACAAAAAAATGAGCCAGGCATAGTGGCAGGCACCTGTAGTCCCAGCTACTCGGGAAGCTGGGGCAGGAGAATTGCATGAATTCGGGAGGCGGAGCTTGCAGTGAGCCGAGATCGCACCACTGCACTCCAGCCTGGGCGACAGAGCGAGAGTCCGTCTCAAAAAAAAAAAAACAAAAAACAAACAACAGCAGCAAAAAAACAGAATAACAACCCCTCAATCAATTTCCAGACTTGACCCAGTTTACAAACCCAGAACCCCTTGAATGAAGGGGAGGCCAGGTCCCCTTGAGGAAGGACCTACTACACTACTGACAATTGATGCTGTTACTCTTTCTCCCATCCTTCCCCAAGGAGATCTCTGACCTTTTACTAGTGTAACTGCACTGAGGAAAGGGAAATGATCAGATATCTTGGGGACAACTGGACACTGCCTCTGAACTGACGTTGATTTCAGAGGACCCAAAATGTCATTGTGGTCCTCCAGTTAAAGGAGGGGCTTATGGAGGTCAGGTAATTAATGGAGTTTTCACTCAGGTCCGACTTCCGTAGGTCCAGTTGGTCCCTGGACGCATCCTGTGGTCGTTTCCTCAATGCCAGAATGCATAATTGGCACAGACATATTTAGCAGCTGGCAGAACCCCCACATTGGCTCCCTGACTTGTAGGGTGAGAGCTAGTATGGTGGGAAAGGCCAAATGGAAGCCATTAGAGCTGCCTCTACCTAGAAAAATAGTAAATCAAAAACAATATTGCATCCCTGGAGGGATTGCAGAGATTAGTGCCACCATCAAGGACTTAAGAGACACAGGGGTGGTGATTCCCACCACATCCCTGTTCAACTTTCCCATTCGAGCTGTGCAGAAGACAGATGGATCTTGGAGAATGACAGTGGATTATGGAAAGCTTAACCAAGTGGTGACTTCACTTGCAGCTGCTGTAACAGATGTGGTTTCATTGCTTGAGCAAATTAACACATTCTCCTGTACCTGGTGTGCAGCCACTGCCTTGGAAAATGCCTTTTTCTCCATTCCTGTCCATAAGGCACACCAGAAGCAATTTTCCTTCAGCTGGCAAGGCCAGCAATACACCTTTACTGTCCTGCCTTGGGTTATATCAAATCTCTGGCTTTGTGTCATAATCTTATTCAAGGAGACCTTGACCGCTTTTTACTTCCACAAGATATCACACTGGTCCATTACATTGATGACATTATGCTGATTGGATCCAGTGAGCAAGAAGTAGCAAACACACTGGACTTATTGCTGAGATATTTCCATGCCAGAGGATGGGAAATAAATCTGACTAGAATTCAGGGGACATCTACTTCAGTAAAATTTCTAGAGGTCCAGTGGTGTGGGGCCCATTGAGATATTCTTTCTAAGGAGAAGGATAAGTTGCTGTATTTGGCTCCTCCTATAACTAAGAAAGAGGCACAATGTCTAGTGGGCCTATTTGGATTTTGCAGGCAACACATTCCCCATTTGGATGTGTTACTCTGGCCCATTTATCAAGTGACACAAAAGGCTGCCAGTTTTGAGTGGGTTCCAGAACCAGAGAAGGCTCTGCAATAGGTCCAGGCTGCTGTGACAGCTGCTCTGCCACTTGGGTCATATGACCCAGCAGATCCAATGTTGCTTGAGGTGTCAGTGGCAGAGAGGGATGCTGTTTGCAGCCTCTGGCAGGCCCCCATAGGTGAATCACAGTGGAGGCCTCTAGTATTTTGGAGCAAGGCCCTACCATCTTCCGCAGATAACTACTCTCCTTTTGAAAGACAGCTCTTGGCCTGACTTCCACTCACCAAGGCTGGCCTGGCTACAGCCACTGCTGAGGGCTCAATTCACTAGCAGCAGAGACCATCACTGAGCCCTCCATATGGCACCATTCCTCGGGGTGATCAGCCAGCTACCTGGTGGCAGGTTGATTATATTGGACCTCTTCCATCATGCAAAAGGCAGAGGTTTGTCCTCACTGGACTAGACACTTACTCTGGATATGGGTTTGCCTATCCTGCATGCAGTGCTTCTGCCAAGACTACCATCCGTGGGCTCATGGAATGCCTTATCCACCATCATGGTATTCCATACAGCCTTGCCTCTGACCAAGGCAATCACTTTAAAGTTAAAGAAGTGCAGCAGTGGGCTCATGCTCATGGAATTCACTGGTCTTACCATGTTCCTCATTATCCAGAAGCAGCTGGATTCATAGAACCACGGAATGGCCCTTTGAAGTCACAATTACGATTCCAACTAGGTGACAAGTACTTTGCAGGGATGGGGCAAAGTTCTCCAGAAGGCTGTGTATGCTCTCAATCAGCATCCAACATATGGTACAGTTTCTCCCATAGCCAGGATTCACGGGTCCAGGAATCAAGGGGTGGAAGTGGGAGTGACCCCACTCACCATCACCCACAGTGTTCCACTTGCAAAATTTTTGCTTCCTGTTCCCACAACATTACATTCTGCTGGCCTAGAGGTCTCAGTTCCAGAGGGAGGAATGCTGCTACCAGGAGACACATTAGGGCGTCTCTTAGTATTATCATGCCCTGTGATTAAGGTCAATGGAAAACTACAACAGCCCAATCCAGGCAGGACTACAAATGGCCCAGACCCTTCAGGAATGAAGGTTTGTGTCACTCTACCAGGGAAAAAAACCACAACCTGCTGAGGTTCTTGCTGAAGGCAAAGGGAATACAGAATGGGTGGTAGAAGAAAGTTGTCATCAATACCAGCTATGACCACAGGACCAGCTGCAGAAATGAGGACTGTAATTGTCATGAGTATTTCCTCCTTCTTTTGTTAAAAACATGTCTGTGCATGTATACACTTGTACTAAGAAAATATCTTCATTTTATTTCCTTTTTCCTTTATCATATGACATGATTTATCGACTTCATATCAGCATTTAAGTATTGGTAACTTTATGTAATAGCATTTGGGTTGAGGATTGGTGGATTTCCAGTTGTATGAAGGATAGTTGTATTATGGTCATAATTATGACCTTATTATTGTCTTTATTTGAAGATTATGCATGATCTCAGGAGATGTTTATGGGTTCAAGCTGACAAGGGGTGGACTTGTGACAGTTAATACTGAGTGTCAGCTTGAATGGATTGAAGGATGCAAAGTACTGACCCTGGGTGTGTCTGTGAGGGTGTTGCCAAAGGAGATTAACGTTTTTTAACATTTGAGTCAGTGGGCTGGGAAAGGCAGACCCACCCTTAATCTGGGTGTGCACCATCTCATCAGCTGCCAGCGTGGCTAGAATATAAAGCAGGCAGAAAAAATGTGAAAAGAATAGACTGGCCTAGCCTCCCAGCCTACATCTTTCTCCCGTGCTGGACCCTTCCTGCCCTCGAACATTGGACTCCAAGTTCTTCAGTTTTGGGACTTGGACTGTCTTTCTTTGCTCCTTAGCTTGCAGATGGCCTATTGTGGGGCCTTGTGATAGTGTGAGTTCATACTCAATAAACCCCCCTTTATAAGTGTGTGTGTGTGTGTGTGTGTGTGTGTGTGTATATATCCTATAGTTCTGTCCTTCTAGAGAACCCTAACTAATACACTTGGGTATCTTTCATGCACTCATGAGGTAAGCATGTTAATACATTTCTGTTTGTTTTTCTCTTGTTAATCTGACTTTTGCTATAGGGATAACTTCCAAACAAGATTGCAGAAAAGGCAGGGAAAAAATTAATTTTTCTTCCCCTACACTGTTGAGAATAAAAAGTGATACAACTCTGTGATGTAGTGCTTGGTAATATCCAGCCAAATTGCTTATGCATTTACCCCTTTTTTTTTTGAGACGCTGTTACCCGGGGCTGGAGTACAGTGGTGTGATCTCTGCTCACTGCAACCTCCGCCTCCCAGGCTCAAGCAGTTCTCCTGCTTCAGCCTCCCAAGTAGCTGAGATTACAGGTGCCTGCCACAATGCCCAACTAATTTTTTGTATTTTTAGTAGAGACAGGGTTTCACTATGTTGACCAGGCTGGTCTCAAACTCCTGACCTCGTAATCCGCCTGCCTTGGCCCCCAAAGTGCTGGGATTACAGGCGTGAGCCACATTTACCCTTTGACACAACAATTTCACTTTAGGTATATATCTCAAATATACACTGGTTAAAAAAAAGACTTGAAGTGTGCACAAGACTATTCATTGAAGCTCTATTTGTAATATCAAAAAATTGGACATGTCAGGTTGGGGCTCAGAAACCAATACTCCACAATATGGTGGTTTTTTTCAGGTAGGCAGGCATGAACGGGGCAGGAGAGGCATCTCCCCAACTCACTAGCAATGTCAGGTGATGGTTTAGCAATGATCACATTGCCTTTCTAAAAGTGATAAATTGGCAGCCAGCACCATGGAGAGGCCATTTCCTGGTGGTCCACGCCTGCTGCAGTAAAATGTTAATCGATTGCAGATGCCAGGGAGAAGCAACTTCCTGACCATGTGCATTAAGAGACAAAATGGTGGAGTATGACCTTCTGGGGACACCCCACTGGAAAAGGGAAGAAAGCCTCAGATGGGCAGGTGTACCATTTCCTAGACATGCTGCAGGTACTCACTTCCCAGTTGTAAGAGGGCACTGTGCATGCTTGCAGCCCACCCTAAGGGAAGAATCATAGGAAAGGGGCCAGCCTATAAAGTGCTAGGATCAAGGTTAAACATTGCACTTGTTCTTCAAGTTGCCCCCTTGGGTCTCTTCCAAGAGTATGTTCTTTTCCTTTCTTTCCTGTTCTAAAGCCTTTTAAAATACATCTCCACTCCTCATCTGAAACTTGCCATGGTCTCTTTTTCTTCAGTCGAATTCTTTCTTCTCAGGAGACAAGAACTGAGGTTGCTGCAGACTCATGCAGATCCACAGCTGGTAACTCGGATACCTGTCACCAGTAACATTTTGACATGCTGAACTGAAGAAACCCCAAAGTCTCTATAACCTTCCTCCAGTCCCCCACCATTTCTCTGAAAGAAGCTGAAGTTCCTTTATCTGTGTAAGATCCAGACTCACCAAGGAGAACAACTGTTTTTTCTTCCCCTCCCTATTATCTAATTGTCTATTGCAGAAAAAAGCAAGATGTGACCACGCCTGTGTAGATTCTTTTATGAGCATCTGACTGTCTCCGAGGGTTATTTAAATTCTAAAGAAAACTACTTACAAGTTCATGTCTGTTCCTGGATCCAATCTTTCTCCCTAGCAATTTATTAACCTTCCATAGAATTCTTCTTCTTCCTGTCCCACAACACACTTTATCAGGATCCAGGTCCCCATTCTTTCTATAAACTCAAGGTTGTATAGAGGCTTCTGTGCCTCATTGGGAAGTTGGGTCTTCAGAATAAAGCCTCCCATGTATGAACATTAAATAAATATGTATGGCTTTTTTCCTGTTAATCAATCTGCCTTGCTTCAATGATTTCTCAGCAAACCTTTAGGAGAGCCAGAGCCTATGGGCCCCACATTGACCTAAAAGAAAAAGGCTGAGGCACAAAATATAATTCAAAGAGTTTACTTAAGCCAAAGCAAAGACAGCTGCCCAGAAAACTCAGAGCCGATAATCTTGGATATGAACTTTATTTCTCCTTCGTTACAACCAAGCTTTTAAAAGTTAAAAACAAAGAGAGAGAAAATGGGTTGATACAAAGTTGTTTGTTAGGAATTCTTATTGGTTTAGAGAAATAACATCGCTTAGTGATTGACTACATATATTATTAGGTTATAGGGTGTGTGGTATAGTCTCTGGTATGGCATTATTAAGTTGTGGCAATAGCAAGCTGTTTCAAGAGATGGATACATGGTTCAATAAGGTAATAGGACATGATTGCTGACTCATTTTCATGTCTCTCTGGGCCTGATAATTTAAAAGGACCTGCATTTCTCAGATAAAAGTTATTTTCTTTTTTAAGAAACAACCAAAACAACCAATAGGGAACTGATTAACTCAGTCATGGTGTAATTGAAACTACCTTTGCAAAAATTATGACAATGTGAGAAATCTGACGTAGCTGACTCCATCTTGCTTCTAATCTCAAAAGCTGTCTTTACTCATTCCTGGGCATAGGCCAAGCTAACTATTAGAAGAATTTAGTTTATATTTTAACCTTAAAATATGATAATAGTCCCTTCTGAAAATAACCCTTGCCTTGCTTGGGGACAAACACCACGTTTGTGAAACTAACAAATTGGCTACAAGGTTAGAATTACAGTTAAGCAGTCATGTAGCTGGAGGTCCCAAGATTTGTAACCTCCCCAGTTGTTCCTATAGATAATATCATTATGGTAAAATCTAGGACTCATGTTTGAGGTATTTTTCAGACCTTGCATTCTGATGGACCAGCTGGTACACCCTGACAAGTAACACATACCAAGAAACTGACTCAACCAGTCCTGTTTTCCCCACCCAGGAACTGACTCAGAGAAGAAGACAATGTTGACCCCCTGTGATTTTATTCCCTAGCCCAACCAATCACAGTAGTCCTCGTTCCCTAGCTCTTTGCCTGCCAAACTATCCTTGAAAAACCCTAGCCTCTGAATTCTTAGAGAGGCAGGTTTCAGAAACATTTTCCACCCTTCTGCTTGGCTAGCCCTGCAATAAATGAACACTTTTCTCTGCTGCAACACTCTTGCTAGTGTCATTGCATTGGCTTTTCTGGAAAGTGAGCAAGAAGAACCCACTGGGCTGTAACATGATCGCAGAACGGGGTACCATGCAGCTGTAAAAATGAAGGAGGCTGATCTCTACATACTTATATGAAGTGATTGCTGGGATATGCTATTAGTTGAAAAAAGACAAGGGGCAGAATAGTATTAAGAATATGCTATCCTTTATATAAAAGAGGAGGAAATATGGAAACAAGAACATACAAAAATACGTGTATATGTATGTATGTATCTGCATGTGTGTATATATACATATATGTCTACACATGTGTATATATACATATATATGTCTACACAAGTGTATATATACATATATGTGTACACATGTGTATACATACATAATAACATGCAGATACATGCATACACACACATCTCACATGTATTTGTTATATTTTCTTCTTTTGAAACTTTTATTTTATGTTTGAGGGTACATGTGAAGGTTTGTTATATAGGTAAACATGTTATTTGTTATATTTTCAAATAGAAACAATTGCAGAGTAACTAAAAACTTCCAATATAATGGTTACGTATCAGGGAAGGAAGCAGGAGACAGATTGCAGTATAAACTTGTGTTGTAATTTTGACATTGAAACCATGTAAATGTTTTATATAAGAAAAAATAAATAGAAAACATTTAATAAATTAAAAAATTTATTTAAAAAATAATAGAAATGAATAGAAAGAAAAATAAATGGAAAGAAAAAATTAAAAACAAATATAAACTCAACCATTGGATAATAACACAGAAAAAAGTCACATCAGGTTAAAAAATTTCAAGTGTCAAGTTTTAGTAGTACATATATTGTTACTTTAAAACTATTATAGGTATGTTTAAGATAAAATGAATAAGTAATTACATTGATGTATTTAAGGAAGGAGATTTTCAGCATGAGAAAATTGAAAACAGATACCTATATAAAGTAAACTAGATTAAATAAAAATCTTCAGTCTTGAATTTGAATGACAAATTCATTTTTTTCTCTTAAAAAAACTTTTGTTTCCTGACTCTATTGACAGAAAGTGCCCAGTAGCAAGGAGAATTCTTACGTTTTCTAAATATGATTTCCACTAAAATATTCTAGCAATTTTGGTGAAGTAGCTGATCTTAATTAGGCCTAGGGCAAAAAATGGGAAGATAAACCTGGGACATCTTATTGTAATAGGAAATAAGGAATTTATCTAGACCAGTGATCTCATAGAACAAAAAAACAGAAACCAAATGGGAAGGGCTCCCTCCCATTGGCCTACAATAGGACAACTGAGCATCAACAATAATAATTACTGCAAATCATATAACACACAAAATATATAAGATTCCATTTGTTTAGTAAGAATCTCAAGAAAAAAATACTCCTTGGTCTCCATTTGGGGCTCTCTAGATCCAATCTCTTTACTCTAAAAATTAATAGAGGAAGAACCAAACATCCATTTCCTGTTCCTATGCAAGCTGTGTTTCAGGTAACCAAGTAATTAACTTGTGCATGCTCTTCTTTATGGAAGAATCTCCTTTAATACGTGCAGAAAGAATGATGGAATTAGAAAATGGCATATTTCAACCACTGAATTATCAATGGAAGTCATCAGTGTATGCTAAACTGTTAGTTAAAAGGTTAATGGAAATCTTCATGATGGAATGATCGGTCTGACAGCATCTCAAACCCCAAATCTAGTTGTCACTAAAAGTGGGACAATCAAACATCATATGCCTTCTGATATGATACGAAGGAAACTAGGTATTACCACCTATCGAGGATCTTTACCTAAATAATTGAAACTAAATCAAGTTAAGCATCCAAAACTATAAGTTAACAGGGAATACAGGGTAACAAATGGGTTGAATATGGAATGAGAAGCAGGATTTGAAGTTTGACATGAGGACGGATGGTTGATGGGGAAGGCATTAGAGGTAGGAACCAAACCACAGAGGCAAAGAAGAAGCAAATAGTTTCTGTGGCAAGTAATAGACATTGAGGCTGTGTTTTGGAAGCCCTTGAATGCCTGGCTGAGAAATGTGTAACATAAATAAATGAAATTAACAGTAACCACTTTTAAATGCTTTCTGTGAACCAGGAGTTGGGTTTGTTGTACTGATTTACTTACAACGATCCTTTGTGGGAGGCATTATTTTAATTGTTTTATAAATGGACAACCTGAGGCCTCAGAAAAGTAAAATAGCTTAGCCTTGGGTACCCAACACTTAAACACAGAGATGGTTTCAAAGGTTCAATGTCATTGCTTTCTCTACTGTAGAATTGCAAATTCACTGAAGAGAGAACAGTTGACTCTCAAGAAATACAAGTTTGAACTGCATGGGTCCACTTACACACTGACTTTCTCTGCCTCTGCCTCCCCTGAGACAGCAAGACCCTCATCACTCTCTGCCTACTCAACCTGAAGATGACGAGGATGAGGACCTTTATATCATGATCCACTTCTACTCAATAAATAGTAAGTATATTTTCTCTTTCTTACTATTTTCATAATAATACTTTCTTTTCTGTATCTTATTTATTGTCAGAATACTGTATACAATAAACATAGTGTACAAAATCTGTGTTAATCAACTCTTTATGTTATCAGTAAGGCTTGCAGTCAACAGTAGGCCATTAGTAGTTAAGTGTTTGGGGAATCAAAAGTTATTGGTAGATTTTGGACTGTGCGGTGTAAACTAAAAATAAAATTCTAAGCCCCCCAGCTGATGGAATGGACCCCTTTTCTCAGCCAAGGGAGTCCAAAAGAAACCTGAAAAGCTAGTTCAGGCCATTATGGGAAGGTGGGGTTGGACATGCCTCATACTCTCCTCCCTTTGGAATTCAGGCACAGCTGACCAACAGTAACATTAAAACAGAGATCTTTAGACTGACAAAACAAACTGTAGCAATAAGATACCAAATTCCAAACTGACTCTAGTATAGCATCACAGGACAGATAGCAGGCCCTGAAAGAAATAAAACATTTTAACCCAAAATATATTTCTTTTATGTATTTTGAAGTGGCCCTGCAAAGCTGTCTCTTGTGGGAGAAATTTACATTCTGAAGAAAATCCCCTTCCTTTTCAGGTCTTTTACTGATCCTGAAGAGGTTAGCTGAAAATCTAGTACCTATTGAAAGTCGGAATAGGAAACATTCGCCATCTATTGCCTCTAAAGGCAGTCCCTAATGAGACTTCATTTACTTAATAAGAACCTTGGCCTCCATAGTCCCTCATCTTATCCCAGACATTCCTTTCTATTGATTCCAGTTCTTTAGATAATGACTTAACTCTTTCAACCAACTGCCAATCAGAAAATCTGTGAATCCATTCATGACCTATAAGCCTCCCTTGTTTCAAGTTGTTCCACCTTCCTGGACCAAACCAATGCACACCTTACATGTATTGATTGATGTCTTATGTCTCCCTAAAACTATAAAACCAAATGAAACCAAGCTGTAACCTCACCACTTTGGTCACATGTTCTCAGAACCTCCTGGGGCTGTGTCACAGGTCACAGTCCTCACATTTGGTTCAGAATACATCTCTTCAAATATTTTACAGAGTTTCACTTTTTCCATCAATGGTGGGGATTGGTGCACTTAATCCACCCACTGTTCATGAGTCAACTGTATTTCTTATACTTTTCTAGCTAATGTGAATCATTCTTTGTGATTTATCCTTGGCTTATTTATTATATACTATATTTCATTGACTCAGAATGCCAATTGTAAGACACAATTGTTTTATGCCGTAGGAAAGAAAAATGTTGTAAATCAAGCTATAACACATTCTTTTATTTATCACTTAGAATTTTTGTTTTCTACCTATTGAAAGAGCTCTGATGGTATTGATACAGACAGGAGATGGAAATTCTGGGGAGAAGAGGGCAGTTCCCGGCAAAGGCTCCACCCTCAAGCCTGAAGACCTGTGGCCCTAAATGAGGACTGGCATTCTTGTTTTCATGCCAAAAAGTTGCCTTTTGGTCCACCATGCCCCCTTTCCTGCATCCATATAAACCCCAAACGCTAAGCTCCAGAAGCAGACCAGCAAGCCAGCCGACCAGCAGATGGACAGCAGAACAATGAGGCAGAGAAAGGGAGAAGAGGAGGAACATCTGAACACTGAGAGGATTTCAGCTAGGGGTGGTCAGAGAGGAATCCGGCCGCTGGGCAGCCCAACTCCAGGAGAGGGTCACCTTCCCACTCCATCCACCCATTCTGGCTCCCCGTCCATCCTGCTGAAAGCCACCTCCACCATTCAATAAAACCTCACATTCATCCTTCGAGTCTGTGTGTGACCCGATTTTTCTGGGACACTGGACAAGAGCACAGGATACAGAAAACTGTCACACTGGCCCTCTGCTCTTGCAAAAAGGCAGAGGGACCATTGAGCTGGTTAACGCTCAAGCCACCTGTGGACAGCAAAGCTGAAAGAGCTTTGTAACACTGGGGTTGCAGGCACCCACCCCTAGACACTACCACGGAGCTGGAGCCGAAATCCTGGCCAGGCCTCTGCACCTGCCAGTCTGCATGCTCTCCCTAGGGGTTTGAGCTGCTGGGCGACTGAACAGGCGAGCCACACCCCTCTCGCACGTCCTGCTAGGAGAATCAGGGAACTCTCCCGTTTCAGTATTATTTAGACACTAGTTTTTAATTATATATATTACTCTTGCCATACAAATCAACAATATTAGTAAACTATGTTGATTAACAATTCCTAGAATTTCTCACAATTCTGAATATGACTCTTCCACATTGCTTTTCAGTTGACAGTCACCAAGGTCTACGCTTCTCCACACATTTTTCTTTGTCCAATTAAGGGCCAACCTATAACTAAAGACCATGGGTGCTGGGCTCTTAAGTCAATTTTACAATGATTTCGAGAGATTCTACCTTAGAATTTCATTTGGAACTTGCTCAACCAGCTTGATCCATGCCCTTCTCATCTCCACCCACAACATTTGTATCTTATAGATTAAAAGAGTGTCCTTAATTTTCCTCCAACATTCTGAAACTTAATTTTGCAAGTTTCGATGCTGGAGCTTTTGTTGTTTTTTTTTTTTTTTTAACAAAATGATAACTATATTATGATTGCTGCCAGGCAAAGTAAGGGTTCGTCAGCATAACTTGCGTCTCAGTTATAGAGAAGGTAAAATATGAGAAAGAAAAAGGCAGACCTTAGCATTGCTGAAATATGGTAGTTATAAAAACAATTTGCTTAAACATCATAAGCATGGGGAAAAAATTCTTTAGCGTAATAAGTAGATTGTTGAGTTACATGGTCTCCTCAATTACTATGTGTTCTGTGATATTTCTTCCTCTCTTCCCCTGCCTTCTCCCCTTTTTGCCTTACTTCTTTCCTATACTTATTTACTGAGGGTCTGTCACGACCAGACATTTCTTTTTTCTTTTTTTTTTCTTTTTTTTCTGAGACAGAGTCTCGCTCTGTCTCCCAGGCTGGAGTCCAGTGGCATGATCTTGGCTCACTGCAAGCTCCGCCTCCCGGGTTGACACCATTCTCCTGCCTCAGCCTCCCCAGTAGCTGGGACCACAGGCGCCCGCCACCACGCCCGGCTAATTTTTTGTATTTTTAGTAGAGACGGGGTTTCACCGTGTTAGCCAGGATGGTCTCGATCTCCTGAGCTCGTGATCCGCCCACTTCGGCCTCCTAAAGTTCTGGGATTACAGGCTTGAGCCACCGCGCCCAGCCATGAACCAGATATTTCTAAGTATAGGTGCATGGAGGTCATTAGAAAATAAAATAACGATCACAACTTTATTCAGCTGAATTTTAGTCTTAAAGAGAAGTATTTTTGTCTTTGGCTCTGTTTATATGCTGGATTACATTTATTGATTTGCGTATATTGAACCAGCCTTGCATCCCAGGGATGAAGCCCACTTGATCATGGTGGATAAGCTTTTTGATGTGCTGCTGGATTCGGTTTGCCAGTATTTTATTGAGGATTTTTGCATCAATGTTCATCAAGGATATTGGTCTAAAATTCTCTTTTTTGGTTGTGTCTCTGCCCGGCTTTGGTGTCAGAATGATGCTGGCCTCATAAAATGAGTTAGGGAGGATTCCCTCTTTTTCTATTGATTGGAATAGTTTCAGAAGGAATGGTACCAGTTCCTCCTTGTACCTCTGGTAGAATTCGGCTGTGAATCCATCTGGTCCTGGACTCTTTTTGGTTGGTAAACTATTGATTATTGCCACAATTTCAGAGCCTGTTATTGGTCTATTCAGAGATTCAACTTCTTCCTGGTTTAGTCTTGGGAGAGTGTATGTGTCGAGGAATGTATCCATTTCTTCTAGATTTTCTAGTTTATTTGCGTAGAGGTGTTTGTAGTATTCTCTGATGGTAGTTTGTATTTCTGTGGGATCGGTGGTGATATCCCCTTTATCATTTTTTATTGTGTCTATTTGATTCTTCTCTCTTTTTTTCTTTATTAGTCTTGCTAGCGGTCTATCAATTTTGTTGATGCTTTCAAAAAACCAGCTCCTGGATTCATTGATTTTTTGAAGGGTTTTTTGTGTCTCTATTTCCTTCAGTTCTGCTCTGATTTTAGTTATTTCTTGCCTTCTGCTAGCTTTTGAATGTGTTTGTTCTTGCTTTTCTAGTTCTTTTAATTGTGATGTTAGGGTGTCAATTTTGGATCTTTCCTGCTTTCTCTTGTGGGCATTTAGTGCTATAAATTTCCCTCTACACACTGCTTTGAATGCGTCCCAGAGATTCTGGTATGTGGTGTCTTTGTTCTCGTTGGTTTCAAAGAACATCTTTATTTCTGCCTTCATTTCGTTATGTACCCAGTAGTCATTCAGGAGCAGGTTGTTCAGTTTCCATGTAGTTGAGCGGCTTTGAGTGAGATTCTTAATCCTGAGTTCTAGTTTGATTGCACTGTGGTCTGAGAGACAGTTTGTTATAATTTCTGTTCTTTTACATTTGCTGAGGAGAGCTTTACTTCCAACTATGTGGTCAATTTTGGAATAGGTGTGGTGTGGTGCTGAAAAAAATGTATATTCTGTTGATTTGGGGTGGAGAGTTCTGTAGATGTCTATTAGGTCTGCTTGGTGCAGAGCTGAGTTCAATTCCTGGGTATCCTTGTTGACTTTCTGTCTCATTGATCTGTCTAATGTTGACAGTGGGGTGTTAAAGTCTCCCATTATTAATGTGTGGGAGTCTAAGTCTCTTTGTAGGTCACTCAGGACTTGCTTTATGAATCTGGGTGCTCCTGTATTGGGTGCATAAATATTTAGGATAGTTAGCTCCTCTTGTTGAATTGATCCCTTTACCATTATGTAATGGCCTTCTTTGTCTCTTTTGATCTTTGTTGGTTTAAAGTCTGTTTTATCAGAGACTAGGATTGCAACCCCTGCCTTTTTTTGTTTTCCATTTGCTTGGTAGATCTTCCTCCATCCTTTTATTTTGAGCCTATGTGTGTCTCTGCACGTGAGATGGGTTTCCTGAATACAGCACACTGATGGGTCTTGACTCTTTATCCAACTTGCCAGTCTGTGTCTTTTAATTGCAGAATTTAGTCCATTTATATTTAAAGTTAATATTGTTATGTGTGAATTTGATCCTGTCATTATGATGTTAGCTGGTGATTTTGCTCATTAGTTGATGCAGTTTCTTCCTAGTCTCGATGGTCTTTACATTTTGGCATGATTTTGCAGCGGCTGGTACCGGTTGTTCCTTTCCATGTTTAGCGCTTCCTTCAGGAGCTCTTTTAGGGCAGGCCTGGTGGTGACAAAATCTCTCAGCGTTTGCTTGTCTATAAAGTATTTTATTTCTCCTTCACTTATGAAGCTTAGTTTGGCTGGATATGAAATTCTGGGTTGAAAATTCTTTTCTTTAAGAATGTTGAATATTGGCCCCCACTCTCTTCTGGCTTGTAGGGTTTCTGCCGAGAGATCCGCTGTTAGTCTGATGGGCTTTCCTTTGAGGGTAACCCGACCTTTCTCTCTGGCTGCCCTTAACATTTTTTCCTTCATTTCAACTTTGGTGAATCTGACAATTATGTGTCTTGGAGTTGCTCTTCTCGAGGAGTATCTTTGTGGCGTTCTCTGTATTTCCTGAATCTGAACGTTGGCCTGCCTTGCTAGATTGGGGAAGTTCTCCTGGATAATATCCTGCAGAGTGTTTTCCAACTTGGTTCCATTCTCCACATCACTTTCAGGTACACCAATCAGACGTAGATTTGGTCTTTTCACATAGTCCCATATTTCTTGGAGGCTTTGCTCATTTCTTTTTATTCTTTTTTCTCTAAACTTCCCTTCTCGCTTCATTTCATTCATTTCATCTTCCATTGCTGATACCCTTTCTTCCAGTTGATCGCATCGGCTCCTGAAGCTTCTGTAATCCAGCATATAAACAGAGCCAAAGACAAAAACCACATGATTATCTCAATAGATGCAGAAAAAGCCTTTGACAAAATTCAACAACCCTTCATGCTAAAATCTCTCAATAAATTAGGTATTGATGGGACGTATTTCAAAATAATAAGAGCTATCTATGACAAACCCATAGCCAATATCATACTGAATGGGCAAAAACTGGAAGCATTCCCTTTGAAAACTGGCACAAGACAGGGATGCCCTCTCTCACCGCTCCTATTCAACATAGTGTTGGAAGTTCTGGCCAGGGCAATCAGGCAGGAGAAGGAAATAAAGGGTATTCAATTAGGAAAAGAGGAAGTCAAATTGTCCCTGTTTGCAGACGACATGATTGTTTATCTAGAAAACCCCATCGTCTCAGCCCAAAATCTCCTTAAGCTGATAAGCAACTTCAGCAAAGTCTCAGGATACAAAATCAATGTACAAAAATCACAAGCATTCTTATACACCAACAACAGACAAACAGAGAGCCAAATCATGGGTGAACTCCCATTCACAATTGCTTCAAAGAGAATAAAATACCTAGGAATCCAACTTACAAGGGATGTGAAGGACCCTTCAAGGAGAACTACAAACCACTGCTCAAGGAAATAAAAGAGGACACAAACAAATGGAAGAACATTCCATGCTCATGGGTAGGAAGAATCAATATCGTGAAAATGGCCATACTGCCCAAGGTAATTTACAGATTCAATGCCATCCCCATCAAGCTACCAATGACTTTCTTCACAGAATTGGAAACAACTACTTTAAAGTTCATATGGAACCAAAAAAGAGCCCGCATCGCCAAGTCAATCCTAAGCCAAAAGAACAAAGCTGGAGGCATCACACTACCTGACTTCAAACTATACTACAAGGCTACAGTAACCAAAACAGCATGGTACTGGTACCAAAACAGAGATATAGATCAATGGAACAGAACAGAGCCCTCAGAAATAATGCCGCATATCTACAACTATCTGATCTTTGACAAACCTGAGAAAAACAAGCAATGGGGAAAGGATTCCCTATTTAATAAATGGTGCTGGGAAAACTGGCTAGCCATATGTAGAAAGCTGAAACTGTATCCCTTCCTTACACCTTATACAAAAATCAATTCAAGATGGATTAAAGATTTAAACATTAGACCTAAAACCATAAAAACCCTAGAAGAAAACCTAGGCATTACCATTCAGGACATAGGCGTGGGCAAGGACTTCATGTCCAAAACACCAAAAGCAATGGCAACAAAAGTCAAAATTGACAAATGGGTTCTAATTAAACTAAAGAGCTTCTGCACAGCAAAAGAAACTACCATCAGAGTGAACAGGCAACCTACAACATGGGAGAAAATTTTCGCAACCTACTCATCTGACAAAGGGCTAATATCCAGAATCTACAATGAACTCAAACAAATTTACAAGAAAAAAACAAACAACCCCATCAAAAAGTGGGCGAAAGACATGAACAGACACTTCTCAAAAGAAGACATTTATGCAGCCAAAAAACACATGAAGAAATGCTCATCATCACTGGCCATCAGAGAAATGCAAATCAAAACCACTATGAGATATCATCTCACACCAGTTAGAATGGCAATCATTAAAAAGTCAGGAAACAGCAGGTGCTGGAGAGGATGTGGAGAAATAGGAACACTTTTACACTGTTGGTGGGACTGTAAACTAGTTCAACCATTGTGGAAGTCAGTGTGGCGATTCCTCAGGGATCTAGAACTAGAAATACCATTTGACCCAGCCATCCCATTACTGGGTATATACCCAAATGACTATAAATCATGCTGCTATAAAGACACATGCACACGTATGTTTATTGCGGCACTATTCACAATAGCAAAGACTTGGAACCAAGCCAAATGTCCAACAATGATAGACTGGATTAAGAAAATGTGGCACATATACACCATGGAATACTATGCAGCCATAAAAAATGATGAGTTCATATCCTTTGTAGGGACATGGATGAAATTGGAAACCATCATTCTCAGTAAACTATCGCAAGAACAAAAAACCAAACACTGCATATTCTCACTCATAGGTGGGAATTGAACAATGAGATCACATGGACACAGGAAGGGGAATATCACACTCTGGGGACTGTGGTGGGGTCGGGGGAGGGGGGAGGGATAGCATTGGGAGATATACCTAATGCTAGATGACACATTAGTGGGTGCAGCGCACCAGCATGGCACATGTATACATATGTAACTAACCTGCCCAATGTGCACATGTACCCTAAAACTTAGAGTATAATAAAAAAAAAAAAAAAGAAAAAAAAAAAAAAGAAAATGGCTTACATGAATTTCTCCTTTTTATCTTTAAAAGCTTCCCCCTTTCCCCAACCCCTTTGGATGTGTCTATGGTTCACCATAGCATGCATATGTCCCAGATTGCAATCCCTTGCTATTCCTGAATAAACTACTTTTTGGGAAAAAAAAAAAAAAAAGAGAAGTATTTGGATAATTACAGGGAAAAACAAAGGCATTTTAGGTGAATGGGCTATTGCAAGTAAGTCAACAACGTTGAAATAAAAAATATTTTTTCATACTGTGGAATACAGACTCTTCAGAAAGTACTTTTCTGAGCTTCACATTCCTTATTTACATGAATAGATTGTGTGTGTGTTTATAGGTGTGCATTACACTTTAAAATCTAAATACAGGCTGAGCACGGTGGCTCACGCCCGTAATCCCAGCACTTTGGGAGGCTGAGGCAGGTGGATTACCTGAGGTCAGGAGTTCGAGACCAGCCTGGCCAACATGTGAAACCCTGTTTCTATTAAAAATACAAAGAAACAAACAAAAAAATTAGCCCGGTGCGGGTGTCCTGGTGCATGCCTGTAATCCCAGCTACTTGGGAGGCTGAGGCAGAAGAATCTCTTGAACCCAGGAGGCAGAGGATGCTGTGAGCCGAGATGGTGCGACTGCACTCCAGCCCGGGTGACAAAATGAGACTCCATCTCAAAAAAAAAAAAAAAGAAAAACAACAACAACAACGACACACACACACACACACACACACACACACACACACACACAAAACCTAAACGCAGATGAAGCTACCGTCTATAGAATATCATGTATTCTTCAAGGTGAACAAGAAAAACTGCCTAAAATGATGATCAGTGAAATGCAAAAAGGACACTAGCATGGAAAATGAAATTTAGATGAGGTTTATAAAATTATCTTGGTTATATTTCTCTAAGGTGTTGTTTGTAGCCTGGATGACCCTCTCATTCAGCACATGAGTTCT
Organism: Homo sapiens; assembly: GCF_000001405.40. NCBI lineage: Eukaryota > Metazoa > Chordata > Mammalia > Primates > Hominidae > Homo > Homo sapiens. Next base: position 105,586,354 of record NC_000003.12, on the reverse strand, counting down.
TGTTTAACCAAGTTGCTTTTGGAGTTACTTTACTGTCATTCAGGTGTGTTCTGAATTTTCTTTTTCCTCCTTAAATCCACAGAGAATATGAATATGTCATTCCAGAATTCAGAGTCATTTTGAACTTGAAGTATTGCTTTGGATTCTTCATATATGAAAAAAATCTATTATTTGGTACGTGAGATATTTTTTTCTTTTGCTTGAGATCACAGGCTAAAGAGCATATCATTTCTCAGCAATTTAAATTTAAATGAGTTAGTGTGCTAACTTTGATTTGCCTCTGTTCCTTCACAGCCACATATAGTAGTTTGCATTAATCAAATTAATAATAAAGGGATTAGAAATTGCTAGCTTCTAAGGGAGGAACATGTCAGTGGTATTAAAAGTTGCATTTGGAATGATTATCCTTGCATATTAATTATAAGCTGGCTGGGATGCAGAGGAATTTCAAGGAAATGATAGTCTAATCATGTGTTATTTTAATTTCAGAAAAGATCCTTTAAGAAACAAATTGCATTGCGACGTACTTTGTAATCAGCCCATGCATTAATTTAGATAGATGACCTCAAATCCTTTAAATCCACTATCACTGGCAATAATTAAAAGGACTCTATAAGGCCGTTTACTAAGTTTTGTACCAGGACACAATGGAAGATGGATTTGTTTACAAAATAGTAATTGAATACAATAGAAAGCTGATAGAAAGCTCATCTCATTAGTTGTAATGGCGATTGGATAATTTGTGCCGTCCACTACTTGGTTTGTGTGTAAGACTTGCATAAGAGAAGAAAAACAGGAGGAAAGGTAAGAAAGAAATTACCACTAACAGTTCTTCTCCACAATTGCCTAATTTCTTTTGGCATTCTAACGGATGTTACTTATGGCTCCATATAGCAGGTGATTTTTCCTTTGTTAAGCGTAGGCATAAAAGTAATAATGTGGCAAAAATTAGCAATTGTTAAATTTGTTGCTGTATTGTTCACTCAATGACTTTCAATCTAAAGAAGCAGATCCCTAAGCAAAAAGGGCCTTATTTTTAAGTTCCCTGCCCCTGGATGGGAACTGGGGCAGAATTCATAAGTTTCTAGCCCACTCATAGATAATAAACAGTTTTATAGTCACTTAAAATCACAAAACATGGACTCAACTCAATAAGGGTGTCTGAGCTATTAATCAACAATCCAATCTTCATTGTAAGGTGTGGCTTTTCTTTTTTTTATTTCTTATAACTAAGGCTTGGAGACAGAAGTGAGATCTGACTGCTCTTTTTCTCCATTCCCTCCCAGTGCTTGCTTTGCATCTGCAGCTTTGATTCTCTCAACTTGAAGCATAAGGAAGGAGAAGGGAAAATAGTGGGAGGTACGAAGATTCTTGTTTGATGATGCCCTCTAAATCTCTGATCGGTGAGGATCTTTAAAGCTCTTTCATTAAATTATTTAATTTTTTTCTCCCAACATAGCATGCCAGGTTATATAGTCAAAATAGACTAGGATACAAAGAAAGCAAGTAACTAAACTGAATTGAAAATTGAAAGAGGTGATGTCACCTAAATGTCACACTGTCAATCTTAGCTGTACTGAGCCACCTGTGTCCACATTATTTAACTGCTGTAGACAAGGATAAGTAAGATGTACTCATATACATTGAGTGCCTGCTGTGTAGGAGGTAACTGTTGAGACAGGATAGTTCCCTTGACACCCTTTGTGGGTGGGAACTTGGATGGCTTGTTTTACTCAGCCTGCCACTTGCCACTCCTTGAGAGAGGGAGCATGCAATTGCACAGCAAGTGTGGGAACCAGAGGGAATGTATGCAGGAATCTGCTGGTCGCTCCTCTCTGGTGGGAGCAGGCTCTGTGTGAGCCCTGCAGCAGTGGCCAAGCCCCCACCCTCTTGGCACCTGAGTTCTTGTTCATCCAGGAAGAATCAGGTCATGTGAATGGAATGAAGGGTAGGGTATGCAGAGGAATTTATTGGGCAATGGTTGTGGCTCTCAGTGGAATGGGGAGTTGGAAAGGGGATGGTGTGGGAAGAAGGTGATCTTTCCCTGAAGCCTCACTGTCTGAAGGTAGCCATGTCTATCCATAGTCTCTGATGCTCAGTTGCTGCTTCTCTGCTCACCACTCTGCAGCTTGTATCCCCGATGCTCAGCAGCTTGTATCCCTGCCTGTAAGCTGCTTGTATTACTCTGCTAGCTGAAGTCTTTTTATGGGCACAGGCTAGGGGTGTGGCAGGCCAAAAAAGCAACATTTGGGTGGAAAAATGAGGTCAGCTATTTTCACGTAGGGCTGCAGTTCCAGGATTAAGGGTAGTGTTTAGCCAGGAGTCCAACCATTCTGTATCACTGTGATCTTTAGCCTATGATAAATTTTGACATTGCAATCTACCCTGCTGACAGAAGCACAGATTTGACTTTAGCTAAAATGAGAAATGCTTCATATATGTGGAGATAATTTCCAGGAGTGACTAGAAACAGCTAGGCCAGTATTTGCATAAAGATTAATCTATTAGACCAAATACCACCAGCAAGTAAGCAGCTCTCAGAAACTGCTTTCCCAAGATGGGAAAAGATACTGCTTATGACTGTCATTAAAAAACAAACAAACAAACAGACAACAATTTTTTTTGTTTACTGTCTCTAATTTGGAACATTATCCTTTCTGTTGAATTGGGTTTCTCTGCTATGCAGTAATCTAATCTGTACTTAATAGTGGGTCCCACAGTCATTTCCGTTTTTTATAATTTTAACAGTGTGTATTAGTCTCTTCTCATGCTGCTCATGAAGACATACCTGAGACTGGGTGATTTATAAAGGAAATAGGCTGAACGGGCTTCCAGTTCCACATGGCTGGGGAGGCCTCACAATCATGGCGGAAGGCAAAGGAGAAGCAAAGGCATGTCTTACATGGCAGCAGGCAAGAGAGCTTGCACAGGGGAACTCCCATCTATAAAACCATCAGATCTCGTGAGGCTCATTTACTACCATGGAAGAGTATGGGGAAAACTGCCCTCATGATTCAATTATCTCCACCTGGCCCTGCCCTTGACACATTGAGGATTAATTGTTACAATTCAAGGTGAGATTTGGGTAGCAACACAGTCGAACTATATAATAAGGTTTTGCTCTGTTGCCCAGGTTGGAGTACATTGGTGTGATCATAGTTCACTGCAGCCTCAAAATCCTAGGCTCAAGTGATGCTCCTGCCTCAGCCTTCTGAGTTGCTGGGATTGCAGATGTACACCATGATACCTGTTTTTTGTTTGTTTTTTTTTTTGGGGTAGATACAGTGTCTAGCTGTGTTTCTCAGGCTGGTCTTCAACACCTGGCATCAAGAAATCCTGCCACCTCGGCCTCCCAAAATACTGGGATTGCAGGTATGAGCCACCATGCCCAGCCCCCATTTTCTCTTTAATGTGTGCATTTTATCCTTTAAAGAGCAACAAGCTCTGATACAATTAATATTGCTGCCATCCTACAGATCATGTAATTGAGGCTCAGGGGTTTAGGTATTATGCTCAAGGCCTCACTTCTAATAAGTTGTAGATCCATAGTATTCATTTAGAAGTCCAATCAGAGTCTGCTTATTTCTAAAGGTCATGGTATTTCTATTAAATCATTAAGTTCATCTGTCCCTCAAGAATGCCCTGTGCCCTTTGGGAACATAAGAACAAAGTACGCCTGTCTCCCCTCTCATCGTTGTTACTGTTGCTTCATCCAGGATATGGTGGACAGTCAGAATCCGAAAGCTTGCAGCAAAATGGGTGAGGATGTATGCATCTGTAAGTATGTTTAATAACTACTTCCCAAGTACATGTCATTTAAATAGACAATCCATATTATTTCCACCTCCTTTCCCCGAACCTTGTTGCTGAGCAGTTTTATAGGTCTAGAGAATAAGTGCCTGAAATGTGAAAACGTAAGGAAAAGGTTAATGAAAGCAGTGAGAAAACTTTTTTGATTTCTTTTAGGGCTGTTGCCGGTGATCTTTTAGATTCGTGTCTCCATTTAGTGTCTGGACACCTGAGTGCTTGCTGATTTGTATGATTGTCCTAATGACCAATGACATGAATTACTGAAAACCTAATTAGGCCTTTTGAGCTTACAGTATTTTTTAAGAGACTCTGACATTTGGTGAGGAATGTGGTGTCAGCAGAATCCCTTGCCTGAATATAATTTCTAATTTGAGGAAAGGTATTGGCATGTAATTATGTGGGCACAAAGAAAGAGCAATTGTACGAACCTATCTTGAACGATGAACTTTTGGAACAATGAAAACGGGCAAATGTGGCCCAGCCCAGGCAAAACACATCACATGCCCGGTCTGTCAAGAGACTTGTGTGTGATTTGTATACTTAACAATGATCTCTAAATTGCTACCTGGCATTACTACAATAGATTTTTATTTATTGATACTAAAGTATATTCAATAGCATATTTCTATACGTTGAGGGTTTTGGGTCGTGAATGTTGGTCCCAGAAAGCTCAAGGAGGAAGGAAGCATTTTGATAGCACAAAAGACTTATCAGTGGAGTTTTAATAAAATGTCTCTGAATTTTTATGGAATGACTGTTCTTGATATTACCATAACCAATAAGTCAATCAGGAACTCAGCTGCCTGTGAAAAGGTGTACTAGTTAGTTATTGTTGCATGATAACAATGTAAAAGTGCAATGGCTTAAAAACGACAATTATTTATTATTGTGGCCCACATGTCTGTGGATTGTCTGAGAGACAGCTGGTACAGATTGGGCTTTAGTGACATTGGCTGGACTTGCTCATGTACCTGTGGATTGGCTAGGAGCTCTGCTCCAGGCTGGCCTTGAATGAGGCACCTTATGTGGTACAGATCTGCTCTCTGTGTCTCTCAACCTCCTCTTGGCATTAGCAGGGTTATTTGCTTCTGTTTTTCTCATGGCAGTGACAAATACAAAAGGGCAAGAGGAAACACAGTAGGCAGTTTCAGGCTGAGGCTCAGAACTAGTGGACTGTCACTTCCATATGATTTTCTTGGCCAAAGCAAATCATATGGCCCAATGTAGGATCAAGAGATGGGAAATGATGCTCTGGCACTTTTGTGGGAGGAGCTGCAAAGTCACATGGCAAAGGATATGGATATAAGTAAGGGTAAAGAATTAGGGCAACTAATGCAACAAATGGATCATCAAAGAAACAACAGGATGCTTTTTGCAAAAGCTTTTAACTTAAGGAGGCATCTTCTGGTACCTGCACAAACAGGGATGGAGGGAAAAGACTTACACTGTGGTAGCTTCCTCTAAGAAGCTGCTGCCTCCAAAGTCCAGAGAGCCATCCCTGCCCGCATGGGACTCACCTTAAAACTGAACACAAACTTCCCACTTTTGTAGAAGCCCTGGGAGGGAAACGGAGAGAAGAAAATTTTCTTCTCTAAGAAGAAAATGTGAACCAGGGATAAAACCAACTGTTTTGATTGGTGCTGATAGTTAGTCACATGCGTCATTACACAAAGACATCTTTCAGCAAATGCTCAGTTAATTGCTATTATAAATACATGTGGTTTAAATCTGGAAATTCAAGCTGATTTGGAGACCCAAATCATAACTGAACCGCTCCCCATACTCATCCAAGTTTCCAAACCTCAGCTGCTCCATTCTGGACTTTAATTTTTAAAATGGAATGCAAATTATTTTGGTAAAGCCCACTTGATTTTGCTCCCAACCACAGGATTTCCCCATTGGATCAAAAGCTTGGAAAAATCTTTTAAAGGAGAAACTGAGAAGCAGATTTCCCATTCACAACTTATACAAGCATTCATATGCGATATCCAATAATAAGAGTGAGGAATGATGAAGCTGAACCAACAAAAGCTGCCCCGCCCCTGCACTGGGTTTTCTTTGGTGCAATGCCAGGTACTACTGGGCAACGATGCTGAAGAGACCAATGTAAAGTTCACTCCATCAACGCTATAGAAACTTCATGAAATCAACTATATTCCTCAATCAATGTAAACGTTTGAAATGAACACTGATTACATACATTACTATTGTTATCAGGACAACAAAACATATAGTTAAGTGCTGTGGTGATAACTGTGAAGTACATATTTGATATTTTAATGAGTTTATTTTATTACATTCAAGAAAGGTTAAACTCAAATTAACAGAAAAGTAACAAAGCCACTACAGGCAATCTTTTAATGACATTTCTCTGTAAACAGATTCATCAGTTAGGAACATGGGGGCAGATGGATCTGTTGTTTATGTGGTGGTGTTTCCATTGTGACCAAAAACCCATCATCTTTTACACAGCTTGTATGCTGCTATTAGATTTAAACAAAAAGCTCTCTAAATTAAGAAATGTTATAAAAAGATTACTACTTTTTGTAGTAACTTAAAATATTTGTGGTAAATAAACCTACAAATATTTCAAATAGTCCTTCTTCTTGGAATCAGATTCAACAATAGGTTATGACTATTTGCTTTCAATTAAAGACTATTTTAAGGATATTCGTAGACAATTATAATCAAGCTAAGAAAAAGAAATTTAGTGATTACCAACAATGTAGAAGCCCAAAATTTCAGAGCAAACTTGGTTTTTAGAAAAGGTTTAGCATACAAGGAATGACTCTAATGCTTAGATATAAACCTTTTTGTAACAGAAATATTCCATTTCCTTAATAAGTCATTCCAGGGAGGGTTGTGAATCAGTTTTCAAGCAGTAACCCCATCTTATTTAACTAAAAAATGTGGCTTCCTTACTGATGAGAATTCAAAGAATTACACAGAGCTGTCCAAAACTGCTATCTCTGTGCAAGTGAGCCTCTCAGATGTTATGTGAATCAAGCCGTGAATTTAAACTGCTAATTGAAGCTAAAATTATTATGGCCTACCTGAGAAAGTAGAATCAAAAGAAAGATATTTTTGGGAGATCTTAAAATTTTATTTTGATTATTAACTCCAAAATAGTCCAAATTGAGTTGCTGACAGCATCCAAAAGTACTTTTTTCCCCCCCTGAGACAGGGTCTTGCTCAGTTGCCTAAGCTGGAGTGCAGTGGAGAGATCACTGCAGCGTCCACTTTCTGGGTTCAAGTGATCTACCCACTTCAGCCTCCCAAGTAGCTGGAACTACAGGCTTGTGCCACAACATCTGGCTAATTGTTTGTGTCTTTTGTAGAGATGGAGAGATTGGGTTTCACCATGTCGCCCAGGCTGGGCTCAAGCAGTCCTCCCACCTTGGCCTCCCAAAGTGTTGGAGATACAGGCATGAGCCACTGTGCCTAGCCCCAGATTTTTCTTTTTTTAATCAAATACTGTACTTTCTGGCGACTATAGCTTTTGCTCTCTGATAATATGTGGTCTTTCAAAGAATGTAAAAACATTATTTTGAGCCTCTGTGATATTAAGGCTCTTACTTGTTTCTTGGTAGCATAGAGATTATATGATTAGGTTTACTCAAACAAATTTTGTTGCAACTATTGGGTCTAATACACTATTGGACCTTTGACTTATGAATGCCTCCCATCAAAGCATCATGAATACTTCCACCTCTTAGCTGCTTTCTATTTTTGACAAATATTTTGTAGTCCTTCGATTTCTTTTCTGATAAGCAAATCCTGTGTTCTCTCTTCAAAAAAAAAAAAGGGATAAAATAGCCCATAGTGTGTGTGCCTCTGTGTGTGTGTGTGTGTGTGTGTGTGTGTGTGTTGTCTGCCTCTGTGTATTTGTGTGCATGCGCATGCATCTATATACCCAATTGAAGATCTTTTCTCTCATTCAGAGGCTTGATCATTACAGGGTAAAACCTTTCCCAGAGACAGACAATAAAAATGGATAAGACAAATAACTTGAGAATGAGATCTGCTTTTGGAGTCATGTGCCTAGGTATTAATTTTCCAGTGAATATTTGTGCATGTGAAAATCATTTATCAGGAAAAAATATGAGAAGCAGAATTAGGATAAAAAGAAATTTGATTAGAATGAGGATGAACAGGTGATGATAGAGTGCTAAGAAAAAAAATGAGCCCCAGTTTTCTGGCTTCATGTAAAAATACAGAGTATTTTTAAGAAGGTTTTAGTGAAGAAGCCTACATAAGAAATATATATTCAGTGTTTAACTGAAATATTTCCCACTGTGAAAGTATAATGTTTATACAGCCAAATATACTGCACTGACTTTTCAAATAGTAGTTAGTTCCATTTAATTCCTTAGATATAAGATTAAAATGCAGCTAACATTTACACCGTCATTTATTATTTTCAAAGCAGTTTTAATGTCTTATTTTAATCATATTACCTTGAATATCAATGGCACTAGTTACTAGAAAAACAAATAGGTTATTTAATGCTAATATATCTTTTTGTTAGTCTCTCCAAGTGTAGACGGATGTATATTCTTATAATGGGATGATAAACAATATAATGAATCGAGCCTGAACTTCAGCAACTTGAGCATGGGTCCTGGCTCAACCACTCTGTATCTGGAATTGTGACAAAGTTATATGCATTGAGTCTTCATCTTTAAAATAGGCATCACACCTCTCCTATCAGAGAAATTCAATGAAACATTATTTAAAACACGCACCAATACAGTACTGTCTCATAATAGGCACTTAGTATGTAATAACATATGTGAAGTTTAAAAATATGATGTGGAATATATTATACATTCTAATAACATGTCTAATATGTTTAAGTACTGTAGAAAAATTATGCAATTTTGCCCTTCTGAATGATTTAAATATCTCAGAATAATCCTTTTATCAATGGTATAACCCGTCCATGTGTCAATTAACGTTTTCCAATTTTACATATTATGAAAAGGAGCATTCTTTAGAGGAACTTAGGGAAGTACGTAGGTTGGGGCAAGGATTCAGATCTAGTTTGATACCCAACTTATCTACTTTGAAGCTAACGGCATTTGGGAATTATGAAGTTTCTCTAAACCTCAGGTTTTCAGCTGTTAAATGAGGGGGATATTTAGTACTATTTACAACTGTTAACTGTTAAGCGTTAATGTATGAATGACCCTAGCACATAGTATGGGCTCAATAAATGTTAATTTCCTTCTCTTATGTACACAGCTGGCTTTACCTTATTTTGGAGGGAATATATTTTCTGAAAGTTCAGGCCTGGGTAATTCCAAATGACAATCTGAATAGAATGTTATTGGCAGAAGTGAACAAATATGAAAATGTTCTCGTAATTAAGGTCCTAGGAGAGTTACATGGGACACCCAAGAGTAAGTATGATCCTATCTTTGAAGACAGATGCATTATAGAATCTATCACTGGTGAAATCTAGGGACTAGCTAAGGTAGCCCACCTGACCTAGTAGGAAGGCATGGTGAATTTTATTTTTCTGCACTCCTTCTCTGGAAAGATGGAGAGTCACAGTGAGTTTTCCACTATTTGATAAAGACAATCACTTTCCACACATGAACATTCTACTTTAGACAAGAGTCAGACAGCTGTGGGAGACCTGTGAAGACATATTTCAGTTTTATTATCTTTTAGGCATAGACGGGTATGTTAATCCATTTCCACAAACAATTCCTATAATCACATATAGGGAGTGAACCTTGAACTTGCAAAACCTGTTTCCTGTTGCCAAAGAGTTAAATTGGAGAGCCGAAACCTCAAAAGTTGAGGATTTGGAATTCTTTTTCTTCTTAGCATCTTCGTGCATGTGGCTGCCATTAAACAAGTAAGCTTTCCTCTTTATCCAGGCACTGAATCGATGGTAATAATGTTGTCTTTTTTTTTCCCGGCAAACTTTCTGCTTTCGGTCCAGAGCTCTGAGTTTCTCATGTTCTGCTCTCGAGGTTCTGACAGCTGTTTTTGGACTTAATTAACCATTGCAAGTGGAAACCAAGAAATAATTGTAGCATAACTCTCTCTATTGTCATGTTGCTTCTTTCTGCAAATATATCTTAGAAGTTAGACTTTAAACCTTTGATCTCCCACACCAAAAGAGAAAATAATATTTATATGGAAGTAATTTTATTTTAGTGTTTGTGATTTATTGTGGAGAGCAGGTGTTTAAAAATTTTAGAATTTCTTTAACAAAATTCTAAAGAGAAAATAAAAAAGAAATCACAGTATTTACAGAGATAACAGAATGGCTTAGCCATGCAAAACAAATAACTTTGGTTTTTCCCCTTTTACTTTGGTTTAAATGTTGACCAAGATTCAATTTTTTTTCCTGCCAAATAAAACTTCAATAAAAGTTTAGAGGCAAAATAACGTATTTTCTTTTTTTCCCATAATATTTTATACAGCATCGAGTCTAAGAATATTTTATGCATTTAATCCATACCAATGCACTACGGAAGCTTTTATTAAACGGAGTCACTATTGCCCAGACAGTAAATGGTTTACAAATGTACAATAACGTATGTTTCTAAATAATGCAGAAGTGGCAAAGTATTATTCCTATTCTCATCTGACTTTAATTTTCAATTTATTTTTCATTGCCTTCATAATTTTTTATTTCATGAGTCTAAGAAACAAACACCAGTTTTCCTTTTCCTTTCAATAACATAGTTCTATACCTAGAAATCTGATGTTCATTTATCTTCCCTTTAAAGTTGTGTAAATCCTGGGAAAGAAATCGCTGTGCAGTGTTCTCCCAGAAACCAGGCTTCTGCTTGAAAGAGCAAAGTTTAAAAGTCTAGTCACAAGTAGCCCATATCTGGTCTACTTCAAAAAGTTTCCATTTATACTACCACCTTAAAAATTTCCTCAAGCATAAAACATGTTTATAAAGTTACAAATTTGAATGTAACTAAAGATACATAGACATTTTATTATTACACTTTCATGTACTGCTTGATAAATTATGTATCAGTTAAAAACACTAAATTATCTCAAGGTGCATTCAATATCTGTAGGGTAGTTAACAAAAACACACACGAAAAAAATATATATTCTATATTCTGTGGAAAATAACACAGCTTTGATAATGACCACTGTTAAAAACTCCAATTCTGATTGATATCTTTTTAAACATGAAATAGGTATAATTTTAAGGCAGTGGATAACCCAAAGGATTTAACACCAATTTGTAATTATAGTGATTTACATTGTGATCTATGAAAATGGGAATGTTGACCATGATTTTTCCAAACTGTCTCTCACACATGCTTGTGTTTTTTCTTTTGACAGAAAATAATTTATTAGCAGGTGTCTGTAGAGGTAAGTGCTACCAAATTCTGTTTTATGTCTTTTTCAGAATAGGTAAAATTGTCAGTTTGGGAGTACCATTATGTATGTGTGTCTATATGCATCTGTGATTTATTTCTGAGAGTTCGCTGGTGGCATATCAAAGAGTCGGCTCCTATGGTGTCTATCAGTCTGACTCTCGGCCTCCCCTCCCTTGTGATAAAAATCACAGTTTTTAATTAGGGCAATATGAGTGTCCCCAATCTTCACAAGCTGCCACCTTTGGGTTTTAGGTGCTTATGAGAAAGTTTGGGGCATTGCTGATAGCAATCAGAATCAGAAATGTACCTGCTCAGATTATCCATATAAACAATTGAAATAAAAACATTACATTATACATCAGATTAACAGCAACTCCCAGAACAAAGCTTACAGTGTATAAAAATAGCTACGTAAAAAATTTACATAAAAGGCAAACCAAAAAGAAATCCTCAGTGCAGACATTTACGGAAAAAAAATTGAACCAAACACAACATATGACCTATTATCATGGCTGCCAAAACTTGTTCTTATTGTTTGTAATTAAATTTCATTTGTTTTACTTGAGATAATTCTCTGAAAACCTGTGACAGCTTGGTAGAATGAACTGCTTAATACTTGAACCATGAATTGCTGTCAATGTCTTTGTTTATGTCTTAAATACAATCCACGTTCATGCTTCAATTGGTCTATATGATTTTTATCTCTGAAATGAAAAAAAAATAATTTAGATAAGCTTCCAAAGCAATAATTTTTTAACATCAACAGATACTTTGTACTAAAAGTAATTTAGTAAATTACTTTACAGGAGGGCCTTTTATAAAACTCCATTGTCCCCAAGCCCATCTATAATCTCAGGCATTGCTTCATCCATTCTACAAATAGTTTTTGGAATTATTCAGAGTTTTCTTTTTTTGTAAAATTAATACTAATATTACAAGTTTTTTTTCAAGAAAATATTTCATTGCATTTCTCTTTAGGTTAAAAGTACACTCATTTCTTCAAATCACACTATTTCGTGGGATTTGTCTTCAAGTACAGTTTTTCATTGAGAAGTTATACGATTTTGAAGAAAACAGTAGTTAAAATCTATGTTTACAAAGGACTGGGGAAAAGAACCCTAGAGAAGTGGAAAAAACAAACAAAAAAAGTCATGTGGGAATGCTGCATACTTGACCTCCAATGAAAGGTGAGATAGAGAAGCAATCCAGTTCTGATTCCTTTCACCCCATCAGTTTAAAATCCTGGCTTTCAGATTTTAAAAACCAAGTCTTGTTTCAATTATTCTATTGTTCTCCCCTGTGTGCATCCTTTTAAATTCAGTATTTTCTCACGCTCCATCCTTACTATGGGATTAACTTGGATGACCCACTCAAATTGTGACTTGTGGTTTATTTATAATGAACCCGAGGTTTACTGTGGCGGTTGGGGCTTGTCATATCATATCGGTAAGCTATAGTAACAGTTATTCTAAAGGACACATTAATAGTCCAAATGGCTCTTCTATTTGCTTGGTTTAAGGGAACACAAATAAAAAGAAAAACCTCAAATTGCAGGTGGCAATGCCATGGAAACATACCTCTTTTGAGATTGTCTTAAAAATCACACACAGCTATTTTATATGTTAAATATAACAGTCATATGCCTCTACATATGTGCATATAGATACATGGATACATATATACACATACACATACATATACTACCTATAAAAGCATATGCGTATATGTATACACACGTGCACAAGTTTGTTATGCTTTTCATTAAAATGATTTGGGATATTGGCTGTATAAATACACTCACGCTTTTATTAAATATCTAGATTAAAGTTTTTTATTTTTTTATTTTTATATTTTGAGACAGAATCTCATTCTGTCACCCAGATTGGAGTGCAGTGGCACCATCTTGGCTCACTGCAACCCCCACCTCTTGGGTTCAAGTGATTCCCCTGCCTCAGCCACTGGAGTAGCTGGGATTATCGGTGCTTGCCACCAGGACTGGCTAATTTTTGTATTTTTAGTAGAGACGCAGGGTTTCACCACATTGGCCAGGCTGGTCTGGAGCTTCTAGTCTCCAGTGATCCACCCGCCTCAGCCTCCCAAAGTGCTGGGATTACAGGCGTGAGCCATTGCCTATACCTGGCCTAAAATTTTCATATTTTAAAATTATTTTCATAATCATTTATTTAAAACAAATCTAAGGTATTAGAATCTGTTCTTACTGAACCCAAACACCAATTCAAAAAATAAAGCTTCTTTGCACTTAAAGTTTTTGCATTAAAATATAAAATGATAGTTGAATGTTAACATCTCATAGTTGGTTTTTATTATTCAGAAGATAATGATTATTTTGAGGAGGGAGTGGGGGAAACTGGTAAGTTTCCATTCTTCCGAAAACACTTTCTGAGTCACGAAAGTTTCCTTTCGAAAAACTCTCTTCCTGTTTTGAGAGAATGTGGAAAAATAGGAACGCTTTTACACTGTTGGTGGGAGTGTAAATTAGTTCAACCATTGTGGAAGGCAGTGTGGTGATTCCTGAAGGATATAGAACCGGAAATACCATTTGACCCAGCAATCCCATTACTGCGTATATAGCCAAAGAATTATAAATCATTCTACTATAAACACACATCCACATGTATGTTTATTGCAGCACTGTTCACAATAGCAAAGACTTGGAACCAACCCAAAGGCCCATCAGTGATCGACTGGATTAAGAAAATGTGGCACACATACACCATGGAATACTATTCAGCCATAAAAAAGGACGAGTTCATGTCCTTTGTAAGGACATGGATGAAGCTGGAAACCATCATTCTCAGCAAACTAACGCAAGAACAGAAAACTCAACATTGCATGTTTTCACTCATAAGTGGGAGTTGAGCAGTGAGAACACATGGACATAGGGAAGGGACCACCACACAATGGGGCCTGTCAGGGGGTGGGGGGCTAGGGGAGGGACGCATTAGGAGAAATACCTAATGTAGATGATGGGTTGATGCGTGCAAACTACCATGGCACGTTTATACCAGCGTAACATACCTTCACGTTCTGCACATGTATCTGAGAACTTAAAGCATAATAAAAAGAAAAAAAACCCCTCTCTTCCTGTTTTGAAAGCTGTAATTATGGAGCATCTTAACATAAAGGACTTCATCTTTAAGGATGTTTCCTACTTGCTAGGGAATTATTTCTATGAACCTCGTACAGACTACTCACCTGGACAACTAGGACAGTTTCTCTCTTAGGCTTCAGTTTTGTGATTGTTTTCTTCTAACTTTTTGTTTTCTTCCATATTACCGAGGTCCTTGTTTACATGTTTTGATGCAGTCCTGTAAGAGAATTAAATAAACTTCATCATATTGACACATACATGTTCAACTTTTATATTTAATTTTAAGATTTGAATTAATGTGTCTTTGAAAAGCAAATGTTTTACAGCAAACCGCTAGGCAAAAATTTCCATATCTGTGAGCCTTGACTGATAATGGAGCACATTGTACTGAAATTAGCTTGGTGATGGGGTTCCAGTAAATGTATGCTAAGAGAAAAAAAAATCAATTATTTTGAAAACAGACTATACAACACTTTGTGCATCATGTTTTTAGCTAGGTTATTTTTCTCTCCACTTTCTGGGAAGTAACTCATTTGATAGTGTAAATTTTTGTTCTAAGCGAATTTTCTCCAAAAAAATTTTCTTAAGGACATTTCATGAAGGCGCGTTCCCTTCTGGTGTTCCCTATCATGTATCCCAGTTGAGCTAACACCCTATGTCTATCTTTATGAATATTCTGTTTTACTGAATACAACAACAACCAGATTATTGAGACCAAGTTTATGATAGAACATCGACAACAGAAGCTATAGCAACTTTAACGTGGCTGGTTCTCAAATTATGGTCCCCAGACCAGCAGTATCAGCATCCCCTGTGAACTTGCAAGAAATGCAAATTCTCGGGCCCTATACCAGAACTACAGAAACAGAAACAGAAACTGTGGGGATGGGACCTGCGATCTCTGCTAAACAACTCCTCAGGTGATTCCACTGCCTGCCACAGTTTGAAAACCAATGCCTTAGCGGCTACTTTGATTACCCATGCCTAGGCTCTTATTCTTTAAGACATTAAATCAGATTTTCTTAATTACACAATTAAGGGTTTGTGGCTAACTAGGAGAAAGCAGAACAAATGGTAGCTGTATGTCCAAGAGTGCACCCCTTCCACCTTCCCTCCCTCCCTTCCTTCCTTTCCTCCCAGCATCCAGAATAAGAGACAATTGCAGACCATTATATGACCTTGCAGTCTACTTCCTGCCCAAAGGCTACTACAACCTGAATTCTCACATAATAGTTTTACCTGCTATTGTAATTTGTACATAAATGGAATCATCTCAGATTTATTCATTTGTGTTTGCCTTTTATTTAAACTCAACCTTAAGTTTGTGACATTCATGTATAATGGTGCATATGATTATAGATTGTTCATTCTCATTGGTCTATAGGATGTCATAGGGTGAATAAACCACAATGTATTTATTTATTTTACCGGTGATTGCTATTCTTGCTCTTTCATTCTTCTGGAATTTCAATTCTATACATAGCTTAGACATGTGTGTGTCCACATGTTTCTTATGCTCTTGTTGGTCTTGGCTGTTCTTTTTCCTCTCTGTGCTTCAGTCTGTGTGTCTTCTATCGATGTGTATTCCAATTTCCTTTTCCTGTGCTCTGCTGTGGCCCATCTGTGTTAAATTCATCCACTGAAAACACAGTGTTTAATATTATGTCTTTCAGTTCCCAAATGTCAATTTGATCCTTTAAAATCAAATTGACATTTTGGAACTGAAAGATATAATTCTTTTTCTCTTTTCAATTATTGCATTTGAATTCTCTACTCCTTTTATCTCTTTTGAGTATCTTTTCTTACACATTTTCTTATATATTTATAGTTATTTTCATTGCCTTATCTATTAACTACAATATTCAAATAATTCAGTTATTGTTTGCTTATCTTACCTACTTTTTCTCTAGATTATTGATTGTATTTTCTTGACTCTTTGAATATCTTGTCCTTTTAAATTTTGCTGACCCTATGAACAAAAGAACTGTAGAGACCCTACAGAATGTTATTTTCTATCAGCTATGGCTCCCCCTTTCCTTTGTTAGGCTAAGGGGCTGATTACACAATTCTATCAGGTTATTGACTTTTGTTGGAGCCCCACTGCAATTTTAGTAAAATTTGGTCTACCTTTGGCTTGCTCCTATTCCTAAGGCATGGTTCTTTCAGGCTTCTAATTGACATCCTAGAAAGTATCCCTTTCTTTAGCTCAAAAAATGCAAAGAAATCCAGCTTTTCCCTTCAAGCTCTTAGCTCATTTCTCCATCCATCTGCCCCAAGGAAACACTGAGATGTGAGACATCTCTTTAGTTTCCTTGACTTGACCACAAACTCTTTGAGAATAATAGCCATGTTTTATTTATATTTTATCCATAGCACATAATACAGTGACTAGAACATGGTAGGCATCCAAAAGATCATTATTCTACTAAGTTGAACTGACATGATCCTTTATGTCTATTTCCTTCCACTGTTCCTTAATATATTAGTGTTCACCAATATGAAGTCCATACATACCCAGCTGCTTTTTTTTATAAGCAAGTTGACAAAATACTACATTGAAATGACAGAACTTGAGTGATTCTTAATCCAACCTTTCCAGATAGTTCTGCACAAAATTATATTCATAAACAGGTCTTTGATTATTCTAATAGCTACTAACTATATATCCTAATAACTATAATTTCTATAAATCAGTAAGATATTGTGGCAATTTAAAAAAGCCACATAATCCCCAAAATCTCTTCTCTCCTCTCTTTTTTCTTCCCCTTGTCTTCTCTCAGTCCTCTAATTTTTTTCTCCATTCCATTCCTCCTTTCTTTTTCTTTCTACTTCTCCTTTTGCTTTCTCTTTTTGTCTGTTTTCTTTTAAACTCACTTCATTAACTGCCACTCCTTTCATCTAAAGTAAGAATCATAACTTGTTTGGAGCAACTAGAGAGTGATACATAAAGAAGTCAACATTCAGTTGGTAAATCCTAAAAAATAAAATTAAAAAAAAAACAACAATGTAATACATCAGGACAGTGACTACTATAATATAAATTGCAATTTTAAGTTTTTTAATCTGCCTTGACCTGTATGGTAAGAATAAAGCCATATTCTCATTGAGTGTGCAAATGATTTCACAACCTTAAAATAAAGCATGGACTACAAGGAGTTCTGTTTTGAGTAACACTGAAAAAAAAACAAAACACCAAGTGTACTTTGTTAACTCTTATATTTATAACAATTATAAACCCTCAGAAAAGTACAGAATGAAGTATGTGAATGTATTTGAGAGTGACAAAAATAAAGTAGAAATTGAAAGAAAATTTTACATGGCTTTTCCTCTGAGGGCACTTCTCAGCTTGGGAGGCATGGTCTAAGTAGACCAAAAGCTGGAAATCAAGGAAGAAAAATCTTAGAAAGGAGACAGCCACAGGGTGGCAAGAATTCCAAATTTGCGTATACACTATGATAAGCTCCTTGGATGACCCCCTGAATAGCATATGTGGGAGAAATTTCAAAGAGCTTAGTGGAAAGCAATACCAGAAGGCTTAGAAGCCTGATAGATTTTTAGGTACTACCCACACAGTTTGGAGTTGAACTTCACCAAGCCAGAAGTGCTTAGCAAACACATCAGTCTTGGTACTGAAACCCCAGAAAAAACAAGAAAGACTATGTGTCAGAACTAGACACAGGCTGGGCTCAGTGGCTCACACCTGTAATCCCAACACTTTGGGAGGCAAAGGTGGGTGGATCACTTGAGGTCAGGAGTTCGAGACCAGCCTGGCCAACATGGTAAAACCCCTACTAAAAGTTTTTTGTCTAAAATTTTTGTCCCTACTAAAAATACAAAAATTAGCTGGGCATGGTAGCGTGTGCCTGTAATCCCAGCTACTTGGGAGGCTGAAGCAGGAGAATCGCTTGAACCCAGGAGGCAGAGGTTGCAGTGAGCCGAGATATTGTACCATTGCACTCCAGCCTAGGTGACAGAGCAAGACTCCATCTCAAAAAAAAAAAAAAATAAAATAAAATAAAATAATAAAAAAAATAAAATAAAAGAACTAGACATTCATCCTAAGACAGACATGGAATACAAACCGTAAAATTAACCATCACAAGCGCAAGGTGACAGTAGAGTAATTAGCCAGTAATCTAATTGTCTGCTAGGAAAAGCAACTCATATCCTTTAGAAAAATATAACAGAAATTATAATCTAAAACATATCACCCACAAAATCCATTATATAGTAAAAAAGTTACAATACATACACTGAATAGAAAAATGTAACACAAAGTCCAGGGAATGTCCTTAGGTGATGCAGATTTACAGATTTTGGAATCAGCAGGCAAGAATTTTAAGTCAATTATATAATACTCACTTAATGGCTTAAAGGAAAATTTGGTAACAATGAGAGAGCAGATGGAAATATCAGCAGCAAAAAATGTGAACAAAAATAATTCTATGACTGAAAACTAGAATATTGATATTGAACAATTCACTAAATGCTCTTAACATCAGATTAGAGGTGGCACAAGAAAGCATTAGTGAACCTAGGAACAAAATTGTAAGTCACAGATTCTGGAAAACAGAGAGAAAGAAAACAGTAAAAAAGTGAGGAGATGGTGGAGTCCAGGGCAGTGGAAAAAAAAAAAGTGAGCAGATCTTCAGTGGCCTGTGAGATGATAGTGAGCAGGCTAACATATGCTGACATACATGTATTTGAAGTCAAACAGAAGAGAAAGAGAATGAGGCAAAACTATATTTAAAGAAACAATGAGAAAATTTCCCAGGTTTGATGAAGCCCATTAACTTGAAGATCCAAAATGCTCAGAAGTCCGGAAGGAGGAAATGCAAAAGGAAAAACACACTCAAGTTAATCATAGACATACTAACCAAAAGCAAATATAAAAAGAAATGTTTGAAAGTGCCACAGAAAATTTGTTCAGGAGAACAATAACATAAATAACAGGTGATGTCTCATCAGAAAAAAAGTGCACACCAGAGATAATTAAACATCTTTAAAATGCTGAAAGGAAAAGTTTTAAACCCAAAATTTTATATCAGTGAAAAGATCCTTCACTTAAAGGCAAAAGAAAGACATATTAAATTAAATGAAAAGAAAGTAGAAAAAAGTATCACCAGCAGACCTTTCCTAAAGGAAGCATTAAAGGAAGTTCTTCGAAGGGAAGTAACACCAGATGGGAATTCAGATACGTAAGAAAGAATAAAAAAATACAGATTGTAGATATGTAAAATATTTTAAAAGACAACTAACAGTTTAATATATATGCTTTATATGCATATATATGTAAAACACAGTTGATCTTTATAATATATGCAGATAAAACAGATGTGACAATAATAGCAACAAAGATAGAGGAAGTTAAATGGGATTATGCTTCAAAAATCTTAGATTTTTAACATGAGTAGATTGTTTTGAGTTCTTATTGTAATCCTTATAGCAACCACAGTAAACGAACACAAAGAGGTATAGTTAAAAGGCCAGTAGAGGTATTAAAATGTAATACTAAAACTTAATTAAGTAATTCAAAAGAAGGCAGGATGGAAGGACAGAAGATTCCTAGAAAACAGATAGGGAGGTGGTCTTACATATAATTGATAATTATCAGAGATAATGAGAGATATTTTGTAATTACAAAGGTTTCATATATAAGGAAGTTATAACAATTGTAAGTATATGCACCTAATAAAAGTATAAAGTAAAAACTGACAGAACTGAAGGGAGAAATAAATAAATGTACAATCTTTATTGAATGATTCGATATCACTTTCTCAATAATTGGTAAGACAATTGTACCAACATTTAATATGTATGATCCTGATGAAGTAAATAGTACAGTTGTCCCTTGGTATCAGCAGTGGACTGGTTCCAGGACCTCTCTTGAATACCAAAATCCACATATGTTCCAGTTGCTTCACTGGGCTAGCTCTCTTGCCATAAACATGTATTTTTAAGAAAAAGAATAAAAGAACAAGTATTTTCTGTCATTGGACAACAGGTAGCAAAGTACTCTGATCTGTGTGATTTCTAAGGGAAAAGCCACTAGTTGCACTTGATGACAATCCAGGCTTTGTGCCTGGAAGTATTTTCTGGTGGTGCCAAAAATAAGGACCCAAGCAGAAAAGAGTTTTCACTGAGTTGAGAAGGCAGAAATCATACTTGGCTGGAAGGAGATGATGAAAATTGCAGGAAAGAGGTAGAGTTATGCAAAGAAAAGCGCATGAGAAATTTACATAAGCATTCCTTTGATTCCTTCTTCAAGTACTAATTTGGATACATCCATCATAATCTAGTTTAAAACCAAGCTCCAAAAAAAGTTAAGCTGATCCATAAGTAACTTGGCTACCTGTCAAACAAAATTCAAAACAATATAACATCCAAATTTCCAACATCCAAACAAAAATTACTAAACATGCAAAGAAATAGAGCAATGTGACCTATAATTGGGAGAAAAAATGAATTAATAAAACCCTACAAATAATTAAATTAGTAGGCAAGGATTGTAAAATAGGAATTACAGAAGTTTATAAGAATTTAGAGGAAAACATTAGTATAATAATAATAGAAAGAGAAGACTGAAAATAAAGTTGAATATTTAGGACTGAGAAACACAGATCAGAAATGATAATTTCATGTATGGGGTTACTGGAAGATCAGATATTGCAACTGAAATAAAATCAGTGACAATTAAGTTATAGACATAGAAATTATGCAACATGAATCTTTTCAAAACAGTAAAGGCAATAAAAATTGAGACAGGATCTGTGGGACAATTTCAAGCAGTCTAATATATGTATACCAGGAGTCTTATGAAGAAAGGAGGGTAAACATATATGTAAAAAAATTGCTGAAATTTTTTCCAAATTTTCAAAAGCAGTGAAAAATAATATCCAATTACTTCTTTTTTCTCCAGAGATGGGGTCTTGCTCTGTTGCCCAGGCTGGAGTTCAGTGGTACAATTATAGCTCATTGCAGCCTTGGACTCCTGGACTCAAGCGATCATCCCACCTTAGCCTCTGTTTTTTTTTCTTTCCAGACAGAGTCTTGCTCTGTTGCCCGGGCTGGAGTGCAGTGGTGTAATCTTGGCTCACTGCAACCTCTGTCTCCCAGGTTCTCAGCCTCCTGCATAGCTGGGATCACAAGCGTGTGGCACTATGCCTGGCTAATTTTTGTATTTTTAGTAGGGACAGGGTTTTGCCACGTTGGCCAGGCTGATTTCAAACTCCTGGCATCAAGCAATCTGCCTGCCTCGGCCTCCCGAAGTGGTGGGATTACAAGTGTGAGCCACCCACCTGGCTGATCTCCTTGTGTAGCTAGGACTACAGGTTTGCATTACCACACCTGGCCAAAGTCCAACTACTCCTCATTAAAAACAATACAAGCCAGAAAGCAATGGCACATCTTTAAGGTACTCAATATTCTAAGAAGTATCAACCTAGAAATCTGTACCCATGAAATTAGCAAACAAAATTAAAAATGAAATAAGAACATTATCATAAAAATGAAAACTCAGAATTTACTGGCGGTAGACATGCACTCCCAGTAATGTCAAAGGAGGTTTTTCAGAATGAAAGTGATAGACAAAGGTTCAGATCCACTAAAAATAAGAAGAGTGCTGGAAGGAGTAAATAAGTAGATACAAAAGAAAGTTTTCTCATAATTTTTAATTTTTAAAACAGATAATAGACTGCAGAGCATAAAATAATGACAGTGTGTTGTGAGGCTTAGTACTTAGAAGATAAATAACAACAATGGCACAAAATACCTGAAAGGGAAATAGAAGTGTATGCTTGTTACCTTCTTACATTACATGTGAAGTGATTTTGTATAATTTAAAAGAAGTAAGTAAGGGTAAGAATATTTAAACAAACTATGATTCACCTTAACCTAATCCTAAATGACAATTATACAACACTACACCCATAAGCCCCCAACAAGTTTTTTTTTTTCAAATGTCCGTGGAGTATTCACAAGGAAAAACTGCATGCTAGGCCAAAAAATAAATCTCAATGTACTTCAAAGACTAAAAGATTATGTAGTAGGTTGTGTTGACAAAAAAGAATTAAATAAGAAATGGGCCGGGCGCGGTGGCTCACGCCTGTAGTCCCAGCACTTTGGGAGGCCGAGGCGGGTGGATCATGAGGTCAGGAGATCGAGACCATCCTGGCTAACAAGGTGAAACCCCGTCTCTACTAAAAATACAAAAAATTAGCCGGGCGCGGTGGCGGGCGCCTGTAGTCCCAGCTACTCGGGAGGCTGAGGCAGGAGAATGGCGTGAACCCGGGAAGCGGAGCTTGCAGTGAGCCGAGATTGCGCCACTGCAGTCCGCAGTCCGGCCTGGGCGACAGAGCGAGACTCCGTCTCAAAAAAAAAAAAAAAAAAAAAAAAAAAAAAAGAAATGCTTGGAATTTCATACAGGTCTAGTCACTTGACTTCAAGGAAGAAACCACAGGGAAACATTCACTGAATGAATAAGAAAACACAACATACCGATATTTGTGGAACACAGGTAACAGTGCTGAGAGGAATTTATAATTTCAATGCTTGTCTTATAAAAGAAGAAAGTCTAATACTAAGAATCAAAATTTTTATTTCAAGAAATCAGAGAAAGGAGAAAAAGTGGAAATGTAAAGAAAAAAGTAGTAATGATAAGAGCAAAATCATAAAAAATAAGCAATAGAGATAAAAAAAGCAAAAAGTTATTTGAGGTCATTTTGAAAATTGATAACACCCTATAAAGACTAAGAAAGATAAAAGAAAAAATAAATTAGCAATATCAGATAACAAAAAAGGGTTATCACTATAGAACCCATAGGCATAAAAGGGATAAAAAATTCTACCGGCTTTTTTTTTTTTTTGCAAAAATGTCAATAATTTAAATGAAATGGATAAATTATTGAGCAACCTGCCAAAATTTATTCAAAAAGAATCAACCCTGTATCTATAAATTGAAATTTGGCTGGGTGCTGTGACTCATGCCTGTAATCCCAGCACTTTAGGAGGCCAAGGAGGGCGGATCACCTGAGGTTGGAAGTTTGAGACAAGCCTGACCAACATGGAGAAACCCCGTCTCTACTAAAAATACAAAAATTAGCCAGGCGTGGTGGCGCATGCCTGTAATCCCAGCTACTCAGGAGGCTGAGGCAGGAAAATCATTTGAACCTGGGAGGCGGAGGTTGCAGTGAGCTGAGATCGTGACATTGCGCTCCAGCCTGGGCAACAAGAGTGAAACTCTGTCTTAAACAGAAAAAAAATGAATTAATTAATTTAAAAATTTACATTTTGTTTTGAAGCAAGTTCTCATAAAGAAAACTCAAGGTCCAGTTAGTTTCATTATTGAATTCTATCAAATATTTAACGAATTAACAAACTTGGAAAAAGAAGAGGATGGGGCCCTTTTATTGATCCATTTTATAAGATCCACATTATTCTAGTACCAAAACTTGATGGGAATGTTATAAGAAAACAAAATTACAGACCAATATTCCTCATGAACATAGACAAAAGAATTGTTAATAAAATGTCAGTAAATAGTATCCATCAATATATAAAAATTATGATACATCATAATAGACTAAGATGTATTTCAAGAATGCAAGACTGGCTTACCATTCAACAATCAATGAATGTAATTTACTATATTAACAGAGTAAACAATATGATTATTTTAATAGATATAGAAGAACATTTGAGAAAATCCAACAATTTGTGATAAAAACTACTGGTAATCTAGGAATAGTAAAAAAGTTATTCAACCTGATAAAGGATACTTTGTAGTAAAGAATTTGCTTCATCCAAAGAGATATCTGACCTTTGTTTTCAGTTTCTGGGAGGCAACATCTAAACAGTTGGAATTTTATGAGTTACACAGGTTTTCTTATCTATGCTGCTCCCTTAAATTACACCTGATAGCTTATGCTAATGAGATGTCTCAGGGCAGGGCCTTCTACACTAGTCAGTCTTAGGGTGGGGTATAATGACACTAGAAAGACCAATCATAGTTTAGGGAGGGAACTTTGAGCTATGTGATATCAGCCTGACCTGAGGAGGAGACAGGCTGGAGGTTAAGTTCAACCAATTAATCATGCCTATGTCATAATGCCTAGTGAAAACTGTAGACACTAAAGTTTGGGTGAGCCTTTCAGGTTGGCCATACTCCATGCTTTTGTTACACATCGATGCTGGTAGAATAATGTATTCCTGAGGACAATGGAAACTTCGCATTTGGAATCCTCTTAGACTCTGCCCTATTTGTTTTTCCCTTGGCTGATTTTTAATGTAACATTTTCTTGTAATAAATATAATCAGGAATATAAAAATTTTAGTAAGTTCTGTGAATCTTTCCAGTGAATTATCAAACCTGAGGATTCTTTTGGGAAACACCAAAACTTGCATTTGGTGTCAGAAGTAAGGGTGATCTTGAGTGTACTCTTCCCTCTTACTTTGTGGTCGGACCCTAACTCCTTGCAGGTGGAGTCAGAATTCTTGGGCAGACTAGGTAATCTGGAGGATTATACCCTTAACTCTGCAGTTTGACTAACTCTGGGTAGGGACATACAGCTAACATCGTACATAATGGTAACTATTGAGCAATTTCCCCTCTAAGACTGGAAACACGCAAAGGTGTCCATTCTGAACATTTCTATTCAGCCGTGTATTGGAGGTGCCTATGAGTGCCAAAAAAGCAAGCAAAAGAAATATATGGCATATAGAGTAGAAGGGAAGGAGTAAAATTATCTCCATTTGCAGATGCAATCATTGTTTACATAGGAATCCACAAAACAACGAATATAACTACTAACAAGGTAATTTAGTAAGATGTCAGTATACATTTCAACATGAAAAATTAATCACACTTTCACATACTACTAGGAACAATTGGAAACATTACAAAATTAATTGTATTTATAATAGCTGCAAAATGTATAAACATACAGGAATAAACTTTTAAGGACATATCAAATGTCTACATTTAAAATTTGAAATATTACTCAGAAAAAAATTGAAAAGAGCCAAGTAAATGAGGAGATATATGATCATGGATTTGAAGACCAAATATTAGTAAGTTGTCAAATCTACCCAAATTCATTTGTACATTAAAAGCAACGCTAATTCCACAAAACTTTTTGTGGCACAGAAATTAGCAAGTTGCTAAAATTTATATGAACATGCAAAGAAATAAGACCTCTGAAACAACCAGAAGATTATCACAGTTGAAAGTCTCATACTATTATGGTAAATTAAGTTTTGACAAATGTGTTACGGCTGAAAGGAAGTCCTTTTAACAAGTGCTGGAATGGCTTGATAAATAGATACAGCAAACCCAAAAACCAAACAAAATCCCACCTTTATCTCACACTAGACACAAAATTTTAGATAGATCATACCCTTCAATGTCAAAGTTTAGAAGTTTCTAGGAGATAACATAGGAAAATACCTTTGCCATTTTGGGATAAGCAAAGATTTCATATAGTAGACACAAAAAGCACGAACATAATAGGAAAAATTGATAGCTGTTCTTCATCAAAAGGAATAATTTCTGCTTATCAAAAGACAGCATTAAGAACAGGAAAACCAGGCTACAGACTGGGAAAAAATGTTCAAATATATCTATATATGTCAAAGGATTTTAATGCAAAATATGTTAAGAACTCTTACAAATCAATTACAGAAAGACAAATACCAATAAAAATCATAGGCACAAGATTTGAATAGTCGCTTCACAAAGGAAGATATAAGATAGCCTATACATTTATGGAGCTTAAAATTATTAGATCTCAAGGAAATATAAGTTAAAACCAAAACTAGTTATTAATTCACACCTCCTAGAATGGCTAAAATTCAACAGAATAACACCAGATTTAGGCAAGGATGGGAAGGAACTAAAACTCTCATATGCGACTGGTGGGAGTTGTAAGCAGGATGACTATTTGTTTATTTCCCATAAACAAATGTCTGCTGGAAGATCAAGCAATTCCACTCCTAGGTTTTTACCCAAGAGAATAGAAACATATGTCTGCAAAAACCACTTGTATAAAAATGTTTATTTTAGCCATACTATTTGCAGTAGCCCAAACTGGAAAGTATCCAAATGTCCAAGAAGAGAATGGATTTTAAAGATATGGCATATTCTAATGATTAAACACTATCAGCAATATAAAAAAAGAAGCCACTCATAGGTGTAACAACATGAATAAATCTCAAAAACATGTTAAGGGGAAGAAGCCCATTATAAAAGAGTACCTTTTCTATAATTCTATTTGTATGAAGTTCAAGATTAGGCAAACAATCTCTGGTCATAACAATTAGCCAGTGGTTTCCTAAGGAGACAGGGATGATGGGGCTGGACAAAAAAGAAGTCTAAGGGAACTTTCTGGGGGTGATGTAATGCTCTTTATCTTGAAGGGAGTAGTAGTCACTGCTATATACTGAATGTTTGTGTCCCCCTGAAATAGATGATATGACCATCACATGATTAAATTGTAAAGGTGGAGCCCTTACGAATGAGATTAGTGCCCTCCTAAAAGGGACTTTGGAGAGCTCTCTTGCCTCCTGCCATCATGTGAAGTTACAGCAAGAAGGCACCTCTATGAACTAGAAAGTGGGTCCTTACCAGACACTAGATCTGCTGGTGCCTTGATCTTGAAATTCCCAGTCTCCAGAACTGTGGAAAATAAATTTGTTTTGTTTTTTTTTAAAGCCACCCCGTTTATGGTATTTTGTTATAATAGCATATATATTACATATATGTGTATATATATAATATATGTATATATTATATATGTGTATATGTATATATAAATATGTATATATATGTTATACGTACACATGTATACATGTATATATGTAATATATGTATATATTATATAAGTATACATGTATATATAATATATATACATTTATTTTACAATTTATAAAATATAAATTATGATGGTTATTTATTTTAAATTTTCCTCATCGGTGCCTCTTTTTAATAACCTTAAATGAGAGAAAATTTAAATTACAGGATCATAGTAAGTTACCGTGGGAAGAAGTGCTAAAGGTGACCCTCTAGTCTAAGCTGCAAGGCAGAGAGGGGTCTTGGCCTTGGGGTCTGCAAGCCTGGGTTTTTATCCTCATGTATTAATTCTGAGCTCCAAGATCTTAGACAACCCCTCCTCTTAAGCATGCTTGTTCATCTATAAATAGGGGAAACAACAGGATTTCCTCGTAGAGCTGGTGTGAGGATAAATGTGATAGTGTATGTGAAAGCAGCTGGCAGGTTACATGCAGGGACTCACCAAATTGAAGGTGAGTCAGGGAGCTTGATGGCCAAGAGCAGCAGAAGAGAGTTTAAATCTAAGTCTCAACTCCTCATTCTGTGTAATTTCCCTTAAGCGCAGTGCGTTTAAAGGGCTAAAGTTACTTTCAAATAACTTTTCAGAAGATTTAAGACCTTTTTTGGTGAGATTTTCCCAATATTCTACACTTGTTTTGAAATCTCAAAAGGGGTAGGGGACTGCTTTGGGGGTATCCCGTAAGTATGCCTTTAACTGAACAATAGCATAGTGAGAGGATAGAGGAGGCAGGACAAGTGAAGGGGATGACAGTGGTAGGTGCAGCCAGTAAATCACAATCTGGCTGGTATCATTTGGAAAAGTCCAATAAAATACTATAATAGAATTTTATATTTAGAAAACCAAAGCAATACTCACTTAAAATATTTCACACATAAAGGAGTACATGAGATTTTAGGTTTTCCAAGCAGGCTTTCAGTTTGTATAACAAATTGAAAATTCTCTTAGAGCGGGTGTGAGGCATCCTTATTTCTTGCTAGTTAGAGGAGTGTTTTCCGTGAGCATCCCTGCCTCACACCACAGAAGGTACCACAGCTGTTGGTATTTAGGACTGGCATCTTGGCAGTGTAGAGTTACCACTTCCAGCAAACCGGCCATTGATACCTGTGCAGGTAGTTAGGGTCATGCCCAGGAGTATGGTTATTTTTTCCCCTTCTTTGGTCACAGCTCAGTAGAAGGAGTCTCCCCTTGGGCCAAGTTTAATGAAAAACTAGAGGAGGACAGCAGGACACTAATCCCCACTGAGAGTTATGAGCAATTTCTTGATTGAAGAAGGAAATAGAGAAGAATAAATAGTTGGTCTTATTACTACAACTTACAATTTTATAACCTTAGAATTTCTAAGACTCTACAAAGAAATTCCTCATGAAAATTTTATGTCTTTAGAATTTCTAAGACTCTACAAAGAAATAGGGAATGCGTGTGTCCTCAGTGAAAACAGAAAATGGCTTTTCCATCTAGGTCAATAGTGAATACGACAACCATTAGGTAAAAGGCTGAGGGATCAGAAAAAACACAACTGTACTGAATGTGCATGAAAACAGGAAGCCACCTGCATGCACTCAGCATCACAGCTCAAAATGTTTCTTTAGGGTAGATGATGGGACACATACAGCCTGGCTCATGCCAGAGAATGGGACTTTTTTGTTCCTTAGCCTTTGGAAAATATATTTAAAACAAGTGTGATCTTTTTTAAAAAAATGAAACGAATATATAGAGAGGGGATTTTGAAATATGAACACATTATATTTTGATGCAAGCCCTTTCTTCCTTGTGGAAACTTTCAGGTCACATGCAGCAGAAGAGGAGAGGGCCATGGATGGTGCTGCCCTCTGAGTGGCCGGTGACCCTGTGATTGACTAGATGGAGACTCTGGCATTTCCACATTGTTTTATTTCCCATCAAGTCCCCTCTATTATTTATGGTTTGATAAGATAGTGAGGTATTTTCTTTTCTTCCTTCTGGCAGCCTGCTAGGTCATGGGTAGAGAAAAGAGAGAAGTCAACGTTTGAATTAGTCTGACTTCTCATACAAGTGGAGAGAGAGGCTGTGTCAGCCTGCCCTTAAGATCATACCCTTTCCTCCATAGTACCAATTAAATGCCAGTAGCCAATCAAAGTCAGAGCTAAAATTTTAATTCCAAAAAAGGCCTGGTAAGGCAGCAAAATAGATTTGAAAATACTATATGGAATTTGGAACAAGATACTACTTATGATATCTTGAGCAGGTTACTCCCACTGAGACTTAGATACTACAAAATGGGGTTAATTGTATGTACCTCATTAAATTGTTGAGGATTTCAGTAAAAAATAACCAAAAAAAGAGAAAAACGGTAGGTTCTCATGCAGTGATAAATGAGAAAAGTCACTTAAAATGTGCTTTAAGTGGTCCTCCAGCACTATCTTTTCAATTTATTCAGTGAGGAGTCCCTCTTCTGAGAACATATATTTGCTTTTAGCTGAGTATTGACTGGGAAATAGAATTCAGTTAAAATCAACTTTTTTGCAAGATCGTGTTCCATATATTAAGAGACACCAACAGGAAGGATTCTAGAAAGGCTTAATTAACATTGTTAATTTTAACAATGTTAACATAACATTGTTTATTGAGGTTTCAGTGTTGTAGGCAAGTCCTCTTTAGCCCTTCAGCCAATTTAGGATTGTCTCTGTTTTCTTCCAAGAAAGTACTGGAATAATAAAGCATCGTATAAGGCAGAACTAACAAAGGGTATTTCTGACTTTTAGATTTTCGGATTATTTCTATATTACACACTAATTTTCATGAAAATAGTCTTGAGTTCCATAGCTGCAAAAGGTAAATCTCTCAGTAAGTTTCCAAGATTTACACAATGACTATTTTGAGATTACAGATGTTTGGTTAACACTTGCTTCCAGTTTAGTTATAGGAATTATGGAGGTCAGAGTCTCTTAAATACAACCAACCTTGAAATTATGGTCCTAATATACTTGTGAAGAAGTTTGTGGCTACATCACTCTGCCTTTACATTTTTCCTTTAACTTCAGCTCTTTTAATTTTTCATTAGTTCTTGTACTATGAGATATGCAAGATAGGAATGAATCTTAAATAGTAACATTTAACTTCCTGTAGAACTAAAAACCATGTTTGGAGGACAGGGATGAGAGAAATGGAAAACATAGTAGAAGGTAACCACTGAAATATCTCTAGTTCTTCAATGCTTTTCTACCTGTTAAACAACTAGATATAGGGTGGACTAATTAATGCCTTTTCCTGACTCTGATAGTTAATACCCTACATACATGGAAAAAAATCAGAGTCATCTATTCTCGTCATCAAAGCACCTTCAGTTTTTTTTAACAAAAAACTTCCATTGGGAAGTTATATGGATTAAAGCAGCAAAAAAGTCATGAGTCCTTACTCCTAAATGAATATGTCATTTCACAATGGGAAAAGAACACAATTGCCAAGTCTTTCTTGCTCCAGTTTTCCATTTTTGAAAATTATAATAAAAATATTTAGCTTCTATTAGTGGAATAAGGAGTGAATGCTGGCTAAATAGCCACTAGGTATATTAGCAAATGTACTCTTAAATTTTACTAGAAATAAAAGATTGTTTCTCTTATCTTTCTCCAATGACTTTTAAAATTATCAATGCAAAGAACTTAGCTAAATGTTGCTAAAATTTCACTGCTTTGCTAGCTGTATCACAAAAATGGCGTTAGACATTCTTAACTTGAAAGATCTTATTATGAATCTGAACTTACTCTGCATGAGCAGCTTGAAGGGTTAAGAAGACTAATTCATATTCCAAAAATGCCTGCTTATTTCAGAAGGCACAAGCAAGGAATAACTAACCAGGAATGCAAAGCACTCAGCAAATCTGAAGTATTCCACAAATTCTTAATAAAAAGCCTTGATGCTTCAGATGAGAATTGCAATTTATTACTTTGATTACCAATAATATCAACTCTGTCAGAGTTGGTGAACTTTTCGATTAGGTAACAGTTATTTAGATGAATGTTCAGATCAGGTGGTAGAAGTTGAGCTTAATTTAATGAAATATTTTAAAGGAAATGCTTGAGGCTCTCACCTAAAGACACCATGAAGTCAGTGTCCAGCATATATTTATCCATCATTTTAATTTGGGGTTACCACATGAAGAAACAAAGGAAAGAACACATACACACACACAAATTTATTTTATTCATAGAGGGACAAATGGTGTCTGATGAGATACTGGATGTTGGGGGTGCTCCAAGAATTTAACATTTATTTGACCCTAATGTAAAGAATTATAGTTTTTTTTTCCAGCTAATTTTCAAGGTACAGGGAAATTTTATTTTCATTGTTTTAAGAAGTAAAATTACTGTGGAGTATTCAGAAGTCATAATAAAATGAAAATACCCTAGAACGCAAGCTGTTGGATTTGTGAGTAAATTATCATGGATTATAAAGGGAGGATAAGATTTGATATCAGGAAACCTGTACACACAGAAGGAGAACTTCTATAAAATGGATGTTGCCTCTGGGCAACTGTTTGCTTTTCCTTTCACTTACATAGCACAGGTCTTCCGAATTTTCTATAGATGCCATGGACACAAACCCATGTGAAGTGTTTATAGGTAAAATGTTCATTGAGAAAAAGAACATATTGGTTACCAAGTTGTGGTGGTTAATTTTATGTGTCAACTTGACTGGGTCATGTGGTACACAGACATTTGGTCAAACATTATTCTGGCTGTGTCTGTGAGGGTATCTCTGGGTGAGATTAATATTTGAACCGAATCAGTAGGCTAAGTAAAGCAGATTGCCCTCCTCTATGTGGGTGGGCCTCATTTAATCAGTGAAGATATGAATGGAACAAAAAAGGCTTAGTAAGAGGGAACTTCTTACTTGACCACTTGAACTGGGACATTTTTTCTTGCTTCCAGTCTGGGACTGAAACATTAGTTCTTCCTGGGTTTTAGCCCATGTGGGTTTCAGACTGGAACTTACACCTTCCTGGTTCTCAGGCTTTTGGACATAGCCTGGAACTACACATTAACTCTACTGTGTCTCCAGCTTCCTGCCTGCAGATTTTGGTACTTCTCAGCCTCCGTAATCATGTCAGTCAATTTCTTATAATAAAACTTTCTTTGTACACACACACACACACCCTCTACTGGTTTGATTCTCTGGAGAATCCTGACTCGTATACCAAGTATTGGTGTGGGCTGCTTAAGACTAAGGAGAGAAAGGCCAAGATGAGGAGCAGTTGTGCCATCATGTGAGAGTGGACATCGTGTGCATCAGTGACAACACACAACAGGAGAAATGTTTCTGCCTAATGTGGCACAAAATAAAGCAAGTGAGAGAAAGTATGGTCTACTCCTTCAACACAAAGATTCTAAAACATCACTGCCTTAAATCAAATAACAATTCTGTGCCCTACAAACTATGTAACCTTAGGCAAGTCATTTAACCATTCTCTGCCTCAGATTTTTAAAATGTAAAATATGAATAATAATGGTGTGTACTTTATAGATGTGTTGTGAGAACATGAGCTCAATACATGCTCATGCTGCTATGTGACTTCAAAATTTCAGAGCTTCTGCCTCCCTTGGATGGCAGCTCCATTTGAATATTGCTTCATTGGAACTGGCATCTTTACAAGGTGAGATCATGGGTCCTGATTTAAATCTGATTTTTCTTTTGATTCTCTTTTAAGTCAACTTTCTTACATTTTTTAAAGGGGACATATCAGACATAATATAAAATTAAGTCCAAAGTTCCACTAGCTATAGACATCCCATTGCAAAACTTAATTTACACATTTATAAGATAAGGTGGTTTAAAACCCATGTTTGAAACTAGCAGCATGCCGCAGAATCACCAGTGAAACTTTTTAAAAGTGCAGATGCTGGAACCCCACCCCTATCAATGGTATCTGAATCTAGGGTTGGGAGTGAGATGATGAGAAGTATAAGACATGTGTGTATGTTAAGAATCTTCGCTGGTTCATCGGATTTTCCTTATAAACCACTGTTAGATAATTTGTAAGGTTCATACTATCTGTAATATCATATAACTAATAATGTTTAACATCTCTAAAGCATTTTTAATGTAGTGTTGGTACTTTAATCCATTTTTAAAAACTCAAGTTGACATAATGACATGATTTTCTCTGATATAGACTCTTATATGGATCAAAGTCAACTAACTAGAATATGGGAGTAATAACAATAAGATATTCCTACCTCAGCAGCAGTTTCATTGCTGGCCAGATGTGTCACTGCAAAGACACCTGGCAGTCCCTACAAGATGTACTAGGTACTTTTAATGAATCTTCTCCAACTTCAACCAAAAAGTCTATGGTTGTTGACCTTTAGGAAGTATACGCTTTAAAAAATTCACTCAAGCACTGAAAAAATCAAATAATTGAATTCAGGCTATTGATTGAGACAAATAAACGGACACATGTGAAACAGTATCCCAAGCCATGTCCCTGACAAAGGCAGTGTAGTCAAAATTAGTTGAAACAAAATATATAATCAACCTGATTTGGGGATACATCTTCCTTATTGTATAAATTATATGCACGACTGGAGTGAGCAAAATTAGCACATTGTATTTTCTCCCAGTGAAAGTCAATGAACGATGAAGATCTTTTTTCCACAACTCACTTTGACTTCTTCATGTACAGCCAGTAGACGACACCAGCAACAAGGGCAGCAAGGAGGAGACCAACAACGATTCCCACAATTAGTTTTGCCTGGTCATTCACCTTTTCTCTGTTTTCATCTGCAACAAAGAAGAAAAGTCCATGCAATTACAGACAATGCCAAGGATTTTCAGAAAGTCAATCTAGCTATTACTTTGTATTAAAAATGACTAAAGCTCACTACAGTAATTAACATGCAAACTTGTGATTTTTAAAGGGTAAAATTTTAGCATTCTTACTATCTTGTCTTTGGTATTTTAATTCAAGTCAAAATTGTGGACAGCTAAGAAAATTACTTATACCATGACACTTCATAAATCTTGAGCTGATAGTCAAGGAAGAAGAGTCGGCAGCATAGTACCTACCACTTATCTCGTCTGCCTCATCGTGTTCTGGAATACTTACTGAAATGAAAAATGTTAATATGAAATTAAAAACAAAATTTGTTGATATATGAAAGTCACCTTTACCATTATAGTATGATGTAATAATACTCAAAGATAAAATGTCTATTCTATAGCTAACAGTAAAAAAAAAAAAATCACACTTAATAAAGTATGACCTTGCCTACAAAGAAATTAATCTTGTTTTAAGGAGAGGAGCTACAACTGCAAAGATATTAATCTACCATAGAAAATTTCATAACTGATGACCTATAGAATTAATCTGAAATCCATATTGATTTTCCCACTATCCACCACCTTTTAATAGTCATTCTTTTTTTAGGGAAGCAAGTCGGCACCTAGGAAGTCTACAGTGTGATGTTTATCAACTTTTCTCAACTTTCCTGCCCGATATAGGAGAATTCATTGTCATCCTCCAGTGTCAAGGACTTACCACTAGAGATGTTCTCAAAGTAGTAGGAGTAGAGGTTAAAACTGGGGATACCTCCGAGATTAAGAAGCAACATACATGATGTTTGCAAAGCTCTCCAAATGACTCTGATAATGCCATGCTCTTTGTCCATTTTAAGAATTACCACTGTGTTGAATTATTATCTAATATTAAACTCTATAAATAAACTTCAAAGTGCATGGGCATGCATCGGAACTGCCAGTGACATTTGATAAAATGCAGATTCCCGGACCTCTCCTCATACATGCTAAATTGGCATCTCAGGAGGTGCTCACTGAATTTGAAAACGACTATATTAAATGTTGATAAAGTCACTGCAAGGCCTAGAAAACTGAAGCATACCATTCAATGGGTTAACATAAAAAGAGAAACTTGTGTTCAGGAAGAAAGGGTAGGTTCTCTTCCTAGGTGGGACAAATCAATACTCACTGAATTGCATTCTGAGAAGTCAATGCTTCTATCTTAGAGTTAAATTTGTTTGGTTCTTTTATCCTGTCAATCCATTAGGCCTTTATATTCCAGTCATAATCTGTGAGGGACCATTATTTTTTGATGATTATTTTCTCCTAGCTCTTGCTAATTCCCAGCTAGTGTAGTCCTAGCCTGCTAATGTCATATACAGGTTTCCAACTGAATGAAGAATAAAAGTTTGGCAGGTCAGTTAGCATCCTGTCCAGAACTGAGCCTCATTCTAGGCCAGTCCTGATTTAAGGTTGACAAAACAATAGGAACAACTATAGAATTGAAGATTATGGACAATTTCACATTAAATGACAATTGTTTTCTGAAGAAGCTGTTGTTGGTATGTATGTATTACCCTGATTTCAACATCGACAGATTTTTCCACATTCTCTGAGATAGTTTCACTTATCTGATTTTCGGCTATAGTTTAAATATGATATGACAAAAGGAACAGTTTTGTAAACTAGATTCATGAATTCTAAAATCACTCTTGCTAGTTTACTAAATGACTTTAAGCTTGTGGCATTCTAGTACAACATAAGGGTAGGATAAATACCACAAAGAATTAGAAGGCAAAATAATAGATCAAAGGGAATTACAAATTTACCAAATTTAAAACTGTTACAAAAATGTTTTAAGATGATCTTTGAATTATCTCCACTCTGAACATAAAACATGAATTAAATAAGAGAAACTTATTTTTTATTCTCTGTTGCTTTTGGGAACTATTCCTGTACAGGATAAGGCCTCTGACCCATAAAACATGAAATGATTTAACTGTCAAGACAAGGATAGTACAAGAATGGACAGGAAAAAAGAAAAAATAACCTTATGATGATGATACCAAATGCAAAATAAATAAATAAAACTTACCATAATGCAGTACAGGAAGATGGAATTGAAGATTTTAAACTAATGAAGAATAACTTCAAATTTTCTTACTTTTGTAATGCCAGAAATAAAATACTCACTAGCAGAGACATTCAAGGAGTTTACTGTTCTCTCCAGTTGGTTTTCTGCTGTGCAAGTTAATGTAACATTCTCTTCAGGGGAAATGATAATTTTACTATAATACCTGCCATTAATATAAGGAGATTCCTCTGTCTGGAAAAAGAAGAAAAAAGGTGGGTTTAGAAATCAAAATGGATTAAAAAGCATAGGAAAGAGTAATGATGACTGTAATAGGATAGGCGTGGTGCTCTATAGAGCATTCTGGTGTTCAAAAGCTATGTAAGATCATAGATCAAGACCCATGTATGCCAATATCTACAAAGATTAGTAAATCCATAATGAAATTTCTGTTTATGTTTCTTTTGTGAATTCTAATAATTAAGTTAATTAAACTCTTCTTTTTAAATAGAATCTCAGGTTTAGTCAACATTTTGGCCTGATGATACTTGTTTCAAAATAATTAATTGGTGACTATTTAAACACCAACTTTCCACCAATAAATATATGAATTTAATTATTTATAAATTTAGTCACTGTTCTTCACTGTGGGAATTAATTCCTTTATCTTAAACCATTATATCAAAGTATGTATGTATGTATAATTTGCTCATGGGTACATGAAACCATTTTTTTCTAAAGTTTTCTGTTGTAAATACAGAGGATGGATGATTTTTCAGTGATTGCTGTCCCTCTGATGTTTGTGAGGTGTTAATGAGGGTAATCACTGCATTTAATTCCTTCAAATATAAAATACAATTTACTTTAATCTCATCCCTAGGATTTGACTCCTAAACCCAACAAGGTTGAGGCAAATAATGTACTTGCACTCTTTTCTCGGTCATCTTATGAACTCATTCCCTACATTTTTCTCTTTCTATATTGTTTGCTTTCTCCTCAACTACATGGTAAGTGCCTTGAGGACAAGAGCTATTCTCCTGTTTTGGTTATCTTCTAGTTGCTGGGGTGGAGGAGGGGCAGAGACATCTTCTAGTTGTAAAATAACAGATTCACCATGTATCTGAGAAGGGAACAAATAAAATTGTGATTATGGATGCATCAGCACAAATCCCAGAACAAGAAAAATAACATATCACCCAGTGGGCCAGAATCAATCTTTCTCCTTGACAATGAAAGATGGCATTATTATTTTTATCCTCACAGTAAATTTACCTGCTATTTTTTCACTTCGTACTAGGATTTTTCATCTGACTTTCTCACGGAATCTTTGTTTTTGTTACTTTAAACTCTACAAAATATATTTTCTCATTTCTAGGATGGTCTTTTAAATCTTCATATCTTTTCATTAATCAAAAACTTACTGTCTGCTTATGTTTCTGTTTTCTATGTCTGTATTACCAGTACCTAAAGGTTCTTTTTTGCTGCAGTTATCACTTAATTGAACTAGAGAGCAAAAACAATAGAGTAGAAAAGAAACCACCATTTTTGATGCTAAAAATAGATCTGCACATTGTCAGCAATTTAGATGGTTCAAGTCTTTATTCCAAATCAAGAAAACTGCATTTTCCTAGGTTTGAGGAGCCCAGAGCTTCTTTGCCTCCTCTTATATGCTTTCTTACTGTGTGTCCCCATCACACTTAACCAAATCAGGAGTCATTCACTTCACGTGTGCCTACTCTTTTGAGGGCTTTCCATATCTAGAGTTATGCAGCTATATATGCATCACCTATAGTTGAAAGAGCCAAAATCCACTTTGCACTGCAAAACTGCATGGCGTAAGCTGGGACAGTGGCCCAACTTCCCTAGAAAGAGGAAGAGTGGAGATTTTAACTTAAAATTAATTTACAGCTCTTTGCTTTATATATGTCTTCTCAAATTTCAACTGGGTCAAAATCTGAGAAGTACAGAAGATTTAAATAATCCAGTGGTACCTCTGGGTGCTCCTGAGAAGCCTTTACAGATTATACTGAGAAGAGGGAGACACGAAGACTGTTGTAGAGAACAATGGAATTAGCAAGTATGTCAGCAACCCAAGCAGATTGGCAAATTACTGGGATTACAGTTCTGAATCCCTAGTGGTAGGCCAGATTCTCATTTTTCCTTTAAGGGGAGGGTCAAAGACTTAATAGTAAAAGAAAATAACAGGTAGTGTTAACAAATCCTTAACCCTTTACTATTACTAAAATAAAAAGGTACAAATATTAAGGTCTGGTTTATGACCCTTTTGTTCAGAAGGGCACATCCTAGGCACTATATATGTAGCTTGCCTTATTCTGGCCCTAGCACTGCATAGGCATGTCAGACCACACATTCATAAGCAGTAACTGTGTTCTTCTCCACCATTCCTACACGAGGACATAGTTTTAAGAAGTAACACCCCTTAATGTGCATAAGTTGAGCACAGTATTAGAGTTCACTTATACTGAGATGCATGAGCTTATTTTGCAGGAAAGTGTATATCTTAATGTTTTAATCACTCACATTTTAGGAATGAATGATCATGAAGTAATACCTAATTTATATTCTTTTAAAAACAGATACTGACCATGACACAATGGTTCTTCCCTTCTCCATGGCCCTGGGATAAAATTTCTCTTTGAGCCATGTTCTTCCTCTAGGAAAATTAAGAAGTTAGCAAAAGCTTCCTCTGAGCATGTACTGCAAATTCTATGTGGTAACAAACCAACCTACACACTGCAAATTTTATGTGGTAACAAACCAACCTATAGGGTAGGTTCGTGAAGGAAAAAAAACGCATTGGACGAAGTGCAGCATATAACAAGAAGACAAATACTTGCTTGGTTTATGACGCTTCCACTGCCAGTAATTGTCCATTGAATGGCTGGCTTTGGAAAACCTTCCACATGGCAGATTATTGTTTTAGATAGTCCACTGGGATCAGTTTTCTTTGTCATTTTTATTTGAGGTTTGCCTGAAATATTACAATTAAAATAAGATGTTGAACTGAGATCATAAAAGAAACCAGGTAAAAAATTCTCAAAGAACAATTTGAATTAGTGCCCAAGTATTTTATTACCTTCTACAATGAGAGTCAATGACTCTCTTTTCTTTAGTCCTTCAACCTCCTGCAGAGCAGTTTCGCAGACATAGTTTCCAGCATCCTGATAATGAAGACTAGAAAATGACGGGCTAGATCGAAGCCTGATGTTATCCTGATTAAATAAAAAGTAAATTACCTCATGTGGCAGAATTAAAATTCTCAGTGTATTTATTAGATAATAATTAAGCCTAAAACAATTCTTCTGGGAATAATATAAATGCAAACTTCTTTTTCTTAACTTCAGATGCTTTCAAAATAGATTTCCTTTTTCTTTTGTTGTTTTAGAGTCAGACATGTCAGATTTTTATTTCACGCTCTTTCATTTACTGAATTTATAATTTGGAAAGCGTTCTATTCCAATTTCTATGAACAAAGGAAATGTATCATTTAATTTTAAAAAATAGCCTGATATACAGAAAATAATCCTATTATGTCAGGAATTGAAATGCTCCTAAGCAGGCAACTAGACACAATCCTAAGATTATGTGGTCTTTGTCCATTAGGATATTTTTTCCCACTCCCCATTAACTAACCAATAATCAGGGAATACTGATCATCACTATTTTGAATACATGAGCTGTTCATGACAGTTAATTCATAACAGTGATTGCAGTTGATTGTACAAACAGTTTAAACCACAGTAAACTTAGTTTCTCTAGTCCTATAGTAAAACATGCAATGAGTGTTCAAATGATTATGAATTAGTCTAGTTGCCTAGAACTTGTCTAGCCTTGTGATCACTGATTACTACAAACATATCATGCTAGATTGCAGCATAGGAAGTGGCACTTTATTTTAGTGAACAAGTTGTGATGAGGCTGTGGCTGAAAGAGAGTACAATAAGAAACTGAGCTCACAGAGTAAGACAACAAGTAGCAGAGGATCGAGTGTTAAAAAGGATCAAAAGGCAGGCAGTAAAGCAATACAAAATAATTTCATCAATATATTTCCATCAAAAAGAAACTCTAGAAAAATATTTCTCCACAGTTTCTTATAAAGGTAATTCTTGTCAACTCCTATTTCAAATGGTATGTGTTGTTTTCTGAACCCATCATGGGTTAAGGGTTCTTGTCACATGTCATGCTCTGGTAACAAATGCACTGGGAGTTTGGATATACTAGCCAAGGGTTTAAGTGGAGGGATCGCAATCACAACCTTTTCCTTTGGTGATAACCTTGTCTCAAATCACCAATTATCAGTCACACTTCCTTACTCTAAAAGGATAGCCAATGGCCTACATTTCAGACAATTACAAGAGTATAAGCACTTGTTCAGGGAATACTGAATTAACTCCTACTATGTTCCAGGTATTCTACTATAGCTCAGGGATAAAAGGGATTGCTTTCTAGGAGCCCTTGATCCAGTGGAACCTGTTTTCAGAAACTTAAGAGTGGTCTCAGCAGCAGAGAGACAAAAGGTGTCTTATCAAAGCATAGTATTCATACTCAGTAAGGTCTGGCCTTGAGTCTCTACTCTGTCAGTTATGAGCTTTCTGATTTATTTCCCTTCAATTTCTTTATATGAAGAATGTGGGGAAAATAATAATCTTTGTATTTCACAGGGTTGTTGTAAATATCACGTAAGGATAATGTGGGCAAAAACACACTGTAAATTATTAAGCCCTGTGGTATATAACTATGTTTGTATGTGCACACATGCGTGTGGTGTGTGTATAATTAGTATATACACATAATTGACATAACACCCCAAACTAAGTTTCAGAATACCAATTATGGATGTCACCGTGTTGAGCACCTCTAAAATTTTATTGTTATTTTATTTCTCTTATCAGAAACAGAGAGAGAGAGAGAGCTGGTATATAAACACATCCATGAATATACCTACTTGAATACAATATAAAGTGCATAAGAAACCTAAAAAGAAATCAAACCAAACAGCAGGGTAGTACCAAAAATATTACTTACTTTCATCCATACCACAGTTGCATTCCTGCTAGCAGATATTGTGCATGACACGGGTAGGGCATCACCAATCTGTCTAGTCACTTCTCCACTTGGGTTTAAGGACAAATCCAAATCTGTGAAGCAGAAAATCTGTTCAAAGTGCTAACTCTGAAATGTAAGATAGTCAAAATATTTTGGAGAAGAAAAGATGAAAGAAAATAAATTTCTTCTAACTGCATTTGAACATTCAGAACTGATTTATATGACTAAAATAATTGGACTATAGCATGATTAGCCTAGTTTTTCAAGCCAGCCTTGAGACTAGTTTAGACAAGAGAGTGGTCAATCTAATTGATTATCCATTTATTTGCAGTTAACGTGATTGATATTTTGAGGGGATATAAATATTCCCCTAGGGCCTATCACCTTAAGAAAAAAAAATCTTAAGTCACTTCTGGAAGAAAATAAAGATGATGACTAGGTAAATATTATATAAAGAGACAGTAAGGCATAAATGTTGGAAAATCAAGCATCTTTAGACAGCAGGTGATAAATTGAAAAACCATGAGATAGTAGTTGTGTTTCTTCAGAGAGAATTTACTATAGCAGCAGATATTTTTAAAAAGTGCTATTCCATTTCTCATCCAGTTGATGGAAAACAATCTTTATAAAAATCTTACTGTCATAGTCTGATCTGTATGAGAAAATTCCAACTCAACTGAACAAGTATTTATTGTACAGCTACTAAGTCCCAAGCACTGATGAGAGATGCAGAGATAAATAATGACCTTATAAGTCAATGAGGTAGAGGTACTATGCTGACTATAACACACAGCCCATAAAATCAGCACCTAGTAGCAAACCTGACACTGATTTGGAGTTCACTAAATATTTGTTGAAAGATGAAAGGCAGGCTAGAAACAGAGGTACAAATGAAGACTTAATGGAAGTATAGAGAACAGAGCCAAACTGGGTTTCAAAGCAGTAATAAAGGCTTTGTAAAGGGAACACTATATGTTCGTGGCCTCTGATGGTTGAGAAGGACTTTGATAGGGGAAGATGTAAGGAAAACTTTGGTCACATAAGCAAAGGCGAAGAGATGAGAAAGCTTGGCAGATTTTGTAATGGTGAGTAATTGGGTATAAGTGGTGACAACTCATGGAAGTTAAACTCATACAATTCATTGAGACCAGACTGAAGAGGACCATGCTTGCCACACTAGGAGTTGTGTCTTTGTTCTACAGTATGAAGACTTGCCATTACACTCCAAGTTTCTCCTTGGTTTAAAATGTCATAATTGCAACTTGTTGACTGCAACATCATTTTTAAAGTTTGTCTCTCCTATCAGACTGAAAGCACCATGAGGGTAGTGATTGTGACTTGGTTTGTCACTGATATATCCACAGTGGCTGAGACATGGTAGACTCTCAAACATTACTATTGAATGAATGAAGGGAAGGAGCATGCTTTCTCAATTTCTCATTAATATGAAACCATGTACCAACATGTAGAAAAGT
This sequence comes from Homo sapiens, assembly GCF_000001405.40. NCBI lineage: Eukaryota > Metazoa > Chordata > Mammalia > Primates > Hominidae > Homo > Homo sapiens. The sequence goes on along the minus strand of NC_000003.12, from coordinate 105,543,839 downwards.
GGAGTTTCCTTGGAACATTTGGGTGAATTGTATTTAGATGAAAATTTTATTCTGGATGAGTTAGAAGTTTTTGTTAGCTGGATAGCTAATTTTCCAGAGAGGAGATAAACAATTTTACAGGACAATGATGGACTTTGAAAGCTCTGATGAAGACTCTATGTGTGCATATATTGGCAGGGAAACAGTGACTTTCATCAGCAACTAGGAATTTGTAGGCTGTGAGACTTGATGAGCAGTCTATTCTGCAAACATGTGCAAGAATGGGTTGGCGCTTCTCTACCCACACTTCCTTTAGACATGTTTGAAAAGGAAACAAATCTTGTTTTTGGAAAATAAGCAAGCAATCAAAGATAAGTGGGTAAAAATAGGATTTTTATGTTTCCATATAATTTAGAATCAGATGTTGATTTACTTGAAATACTTTTTTTCAGCTTTTGAGGAGGAACAGAGTCAGCAACAGAGTTAAAACCCAGTGTTAGAGTCTACCTGTCAAAACCAAGATGCATTTAAATCTAATTAAATGCACTAAAATCCAGTTAAACTTTTACACACTTTTGTTTAATTTTCCCCCATCACAGCCAAACACGTAGGCACTATATGGCTGCAACCAAGTCTTTTGCTTTGTCAGTCTGCCATCTATCCTCCCCTGCCTTATCTACAAGTAAAGTAAATAAGAGCCCTTTTCTTTTAGAGACCTGTGTACCTTGCATCTCTTAAAAATAAGCACATCACACCATCTCTAAGGCACTAGATTATTGATTATTGGCCCAAAGACATCATGAGCAATGATAATAGAGAGCTAGCTATTCCACATATGGTTCTATCTGCTGGCTATATTCTCTTTCTTCATTATTTTATTTTCATGGAACAGGACTGGATAATATTGTTATACTGGAAGCTACTGCTTTCTCTGTAACTAGCCCCTGATGGGAGACACATTCAAACCCAAGCAACATAAGCAAGGAGTAAATGGAGAAATGGCCCAGCTGTGAACATAACAGTCCACTATTTTTACAGGGCTCTCAAGGGAGCACTCCCAACATCAGACAATCAGAAGCAACCATCTGGTTGCTTTATTCCCCAATGTACCTCCCTGTATCTCTCTCAAAAATTTAGCTCATATCCCACATGTTTTTAAAGTATTATGAGTCAAATGAAAGAGTTAGAACTATGTACTCAAGACAATTTCTAAAGTCTCTTTATACTCAGTGGGATTGTAGTGGATGATGTCTAGAGGAAACCTTATTAATGGTACTGTTGAGTGCAAAGGACTTATTAGGAAGTTTGTACTATACCTCTAAGCAAGACTGACATTTGCTTAAAGCACTCTGAATTCTAGTGTCACCAGGGTGTGGTATGAATTAGTTTACTGTTTCCATGATTCATCAGGTACATCAATAATATGGACTGTCATGAAGAACTCAAGTTAAATGTCTGGTATTTACATGTGTCTTTTTCTGTTACACCGAGGCAAATATAATTTTTGGAGTATTTGGAGATCAAAAGCAAATTAAAAGTTAAAAAGTTATGTCCACAGTGATTTTCAAGAGGTTCTGTTTCCAGAAATTTCCTACCCCTCTATATAGAGTACATTCAGCCAATAAATAACTTCTAATGATCTCTACTTCCTGTTCCCAAAACTGAGTCTGTAGTAACTTTGTATTGTCTGAGTTTGGGTGTTAAATTTATTCTGTAACACAAATGATAATGCTGGGTCAACTGCAAAGCTGGTGCACTTCAAGAACATGGAAATGTTTTCTTAAAATATACAGAGTTGTTTCTTTAAGGTCTATATGAATATTGTTCATTGACACCACAAATTGAAGACACTTAGAAAGAAGATGGAGATGTACCACTGCCAAAAGTTGCGGTTATCAGAGCCATGCAAGGTTTCAATATTGCAGTACAAATCTGGACAAAGTTGAGCTTATCCCGATGCTTTCTCTCTCTACTGCATCTATTGCAACCAAGTTATTTAAGAAAGATATACGTGCAGTTTATTTGAAAAGATAGCTACATTAAGCTATTAGAAGCCTTTGAGGTGAAGCTGCTGATGAAGAAGTAGGTGACTTACAGTGAACTGTGATAGCTGTTGAAGCAATCATGCTTTTTTTGTCTATCAGGGAACACTTGTAGTCTCCTGTTGCATTGCGCCTCACATCCGTCAGTGTGTAAGTATTTGAGCTTCTTATTCCTTCGGGCTGTCCCTTTTGATAGAGGCAAAATGTCAGATGATTATACTTGGTCGCTACAATGAGAACAGTTGTATTTCTTGATGAAGATAGCATTTTATCAAGTAAGATAAAAAAGGGAATGTGTTTCATTGATCACACAAAAAGAGTACAGTTTGTGTTACCAATATCTGATTCCTGGGCAAATAATTAATATTTTGGACCTAAGGAATTTGAGAGCTGATTTATTTTCTATTGATGACTTTTATTTTATTGACAGCATGGCTTTTGCTCAAGTTTCAAGGGCATTTTTAAAAAGTCCAATGTTTTATTTTTATATTTATGCCTTATGTAATTTGACAAAAATATTTGAGGCAGCTTAAAAGGAAATACACTATATATCCAGATTAAAAGAAAAAACATAAAAGGAAGGAAAGAAGGAAGGAAGGAAAGTAAAAAGGAAGAAAGGATGAAATGAGAAGAATGAGAAAGAAAGAAAGGGGAAAGGAAGAGAGAGAGGAGAAGAAAAAAAGAAAATGACAAAAGAAAAAAAGAAATTAAGAAATTAAGACTAGGAAAAATATAGATGATGTAGGAATAATATAAGTTAACAAAGAAAGATATTCAGCAGGTATTATTGCTAAAACTGAGACACAAATTTGGCTCTGTCATCCCCGATAGCCAAAGCAGAAACCTAATTAGTTTTAAATTTTCCTTCGCAAAGGAAACAAAAACAGCAATTAATTCATTGGGAGAAACAAAGTTTTCTGTCAGCATAAAGAAATTACTTATACTAGTCTTCTGAATAATGTAGTGAATGACATTCTTAAATACTATTGAGTACTGTGGTAGATGAAATTTGTAAGCACAACCCTGCAGTAAATGCAGTATTGAGTTGCATTATGGCTTCCCTCAATGTGAAAGTGATGTCAAACACAAAGATATGCGAGAGCAAACAGGCATCCTCAGAGCGAGCTCTCTCCTTGTCTGCTTCCAGATCCTTATGACATGCAGAGCACATCCGAGAGGAATTTTCCAAAGTATCCTCTATGCATATCATTTCCTTCAGCTATGATATGGAGAAAAGTTGAGGAAATGGCATTTCAAGATTATACATAATGACCAAAAAAGAGCCATAGCATTATCCTAAATATAACGTGCAACAGAACTATCCCTACTTCTGAGGGTTAGAGGTGTGTTCGGGGCAATGTTGTGGGCAGATTTAGAATCCACATCAGTTCATTCACTGTCATCAGTTTTCATTTTGTAGTTATCTGCTTCTGAGGAGCAGATTCTTAAAGTTTATTTGGATAATTAAACTTTAAGTTTTTGCAATTATGGTTTCCTGTGGTTGGCTTTTTTTTTCTCTTTGTCCTTGAAATCTCTCAGCATTGAGAAAAAAGGCAAGAACAGTGGCAGGTGCAGAAAAAGCTTCCACGTGACATTTTATAGGTGGCGTCTCTTGTCTCCAGCAATAACATTTTTTCTCACTTAATCTATCCATGTAGAAGTCAAACAACAGGAAAAATGATAGTCATCCAACTGAAGTAATACTTAAGCACTTACTGGTAAGTAAAACAAAAATTCCTCTGGGGGAGGGTTGCCATTCCCTAAGCATTTAAGAGTGATGTTATCCCCTTCTTTGATGGCATTTTTTGGTGGCAGCACTTGTATTGTCACCTGCTCTGTAGGATCTGTAAGAGTTACAGACACAAGTTAACCATTTTTGTCAAGTACCGAATTACTCTGTGCATACAATGTAAATGACTAAATTATACATAATTTTCTCAAGAAGCTAGTAATGGTAATTGCTTAAATATACCTTTTTATAGAAGGATTGAAGCTAATAGCTACTTGCTATACAAGTACTAATCTTAGGGCCAACTACAAAGAAACCCTGTTACATAAAAATCAATTTCTTCTTAGCAAAATGTCTTTAACTGAGGTAGGAATGGTGGTAATTATTTTATGTATAAAAGACCATAGGAACAATCAAACTGCATGGCTTTATGATAGGGAAATTTAATTATATATTATATGAATCTTATAGTTTGGAAGGACAAAAATCAGCTAGCAAATAGCTAAAGCTATTAGATGCCACTGTACTCATATTGCATGATAATACTTCATATGAAATAAAAAGAGGAGACATGAGCTAAACAACACCAGCGAGGATTTCGGCATGCAGGAGAGAAGATCTGCTTAAAAAAAGATGAATCCTATGAACTGAGGGAGAACCTTGACACAATCAACAGGACTGTAAGTGTATTGTAATTTTGTCCTGTTCATTGGAGCCAAGATGCAACTTTCATTCCATTTTGGTCAATTTATGGAGAAAATAGGGCTAAAGGGTATGCTTCAGCACTCAATAGTAGAATGCTAATGAAATTAAATGCTGGATACAGTGAACCATATCTAGCAAACAGGAAATAAAATGAAGTGGTGCTGGCAGTTAGAAATGATCCACTAACCTATCCATTTGTTATGTTGCTGGATAATACAATGAATAATAAATTTTGAAATCATATAATGCAAAGGTATGTTTTATAGAATGTTTTCCACAAGACTTAATAATTATTGAGGCATGTGTATATATTTCCAAACTGGTGGCACTAAAAATTATCTATGAAAACCTATTTTTTTTATTAGCTAACAAGTGAAATGAGTAAGTTATACTTTTGGAGGCTTTGTTCTATCTCTTGCGGTCATTTATTTACCTTTCTATAGATAAAGTGCAGATAAAAAAACTTAGAAGTTTGTTATAGATTGTTTCTTTGCCTTTTCTCTATGCTTGGGCATCTCTGAATACTTGTCCAGTACATTCTGAGGTTAAACGGTGATTGATTTAATACATTTCTTATTTGTTTTTCTGGATTTGCCTGAAGTAGTTTCCTAACCAGCAGTTTCCGGTGAGGTTGAAAAGTAAATAAAATCTGGTTTTGGTGCCCTGCTGACCTTCCGTTTCCGGGCCTCTCTTGCTTTTCTTACTTGGCCCTTCTCTGACTAGTGCTCATGTTTGGCCTGTGGCATGTCACTGTGGCACATCTCTGATCAAGGTTGACACAACAGAACAGCCAGGGATGGCAATCTCTGACTTCCTTCTCTATTTTAAAACTCCCCTTCTCTGTGTTCCCTTTTCAATAGGCTCCGCTTTGTATTAGAGAGTCATCAAAGGGTTAATGTAACACATTTGCGTTTTGACAGTAACTCTCTGCATGTCCACTAACGTGTTTACCTCAAAGTTAAGGATCCCTTGCTCTGCGTTTGCCCCTGACTTTGAATTTTACTCTGCCCACTAGTAAATCATCATTTTGCCCATTGCCCTGGCTTTCTCCTTTGCCCTCTCTTATCCATTCAGTCACCATGTCTTGATGATTAATACTTTACAATATATTTTGGGTCTGATTCTCCCCTTCTATTCTCACTAACACTTCCCTAGTCCATGTCCTAATTAACCTAAACTTGAAGCAATGCCATCAAATTTCACTTGGTTCCTCACCTTGAGTCTCCTTCCTTTTGATCCTTTCATATATATTTCCTCTGAATCTGTTTTCTGAAGTAGCGCTTTGAATATTACAATGATACTCAAAATCTGTTACACATTCCCAACATATGAAGATTAAAAATAAAAATTCCTTAGCCTGGTATCCACAATTTGGCTTGAACCCAGCTCAAGTGAGAGTCTTCTCTCTTACTCTGCTACATAAACCCCTACAAAATAACCAAAACTGTCTGCTGAAATTTTCTTTTCATGTATTTATTTATCCTACAGTCCTTCTTCATTTATTCATTTGTTTGGCATCTATATTGTGCAAGCCTTAAGTGCTGGAATTAGGAAGTTGAAAACCCTGCCTCAATGAACTTTTCCTCTATTTGTAAAGACACCAAACTTAATAATTAAGAGTATGACCACATAAAACCTGCATATGACACAAGCATAGGGATCCTGGTAGCCATCATTACATGAGACTAGGAAGCTTCCTGGAGGAACTGACCCTGGAGCTGGGTTTTGACACATAAATGGGTATTTGCTAAATGATAAAGGTGGGAAAATGACAGCATATGCATAGGCATGTAAGTATTACTCTACAGAAGGAATCTGGAAAGTAGAACAGACCACAGTGGATACAGGCAGTGATGAGGGTTGAGACATACTGTAGGACCATGGCTAAAACGAACTCAAGGCATACTGCAATTGGGGGAGGGGGAAGGATATTAATCTGAGAGCTCTGGGGAGTCACTGAGAAGTTTTTGTCACATTTGTGTTTTAGAAAAATATTTCTGGCAGCAGTTTGGAGGGCAGTTTATTTGGGGGTGAACAGAGAATGGTGGGCAGACAAGAGAAATACTATTTTGCAATTCATTGGAAAAATACTACTTTGAAATCCATCGCAGGAATAGAGGCAATGAGGAATGGTGGCATAAACGTAGGCAGTGTCAGAAGGCAGAAATCAGATCAAAACAAAGATTAAAGAGCTAGATTCTCTAAAACCTCGTTACTGATTGAATAGGGTAAGAAAGGAGTGGACTGGTGCATTTTTCTCAAGCTTTCTCAAGATGAATTGGCCAATTTTTTTTTCTTGAAATGGACTCGTCTCTCCTTTCCATTTAGCACTCTTCTTCTGTTCTCTGAAGTCTTCCTAGAGCAGTGGTTCTCCACTCGTAGTCCTCAGATCAGCAGCATTAGCACCATCAGGGAATTTGTTACAAATGCAGAGTGTCAATCACCGTCCTATACCCACTAAATCAGAAACTCAAGGCCAGGGTGCAGTAATCTGTGCTCTAACAAGTCCTTCATGTTCTTCTGATTTACACTACAGTTTGAGAACCACTGTCCTTGGGCACCTGAGCCCTCAAGACTCTTAATACTGAGTTCCTAAGACTTTTACCCTTACAACCTTGCATTGGCAATTTCCTTCTGATGTAGGTGTCTTGTTTCTCTACTGGAGTAGTACACTCCTTGAATGTGAGGACTGTCTTAAACTGCTTCTTTGTGCTTCGTGTTTTCACCATGAAGCCCACTGTGGCTTCTTAAAAGCCATGACAAGTGCACCTTACACAGCCAGCATGATAAAATCATTTTCTTCGTATCCATTCAAGAACTTCTCCGTCTACCCAACTCTGCATGCCTCATACTCACAGATATTTCTATTCTTTCTGAAGCCAATTTCCCAATTCTTATTACTTATCTTGATGTTCTCTCCTGTGTTGTACACCTACACTTACACTAATATGGTTTATTTCCAATTGAATATTTCTAACAGAAAGAATTCTGGGCCGGGCTTGGTGGCTCACACCTGTAATCCCAGTACTTTGGGAGGCTGAGGTGGGCAGATCACCTGAGGTCAGGAGTTCGAGACCAACCTGACCAACATGGTGGAACCCCACCTCTACTAAAAATACAAAAATCAGCAGGGTGTGGTGGCATGCGCTTCTAATCCCAGCTACTTGGGAGGCTGAGGCAGGAGAAGCACTTGAATTCAAGAGGTGGAGGTTGCAGTAAGCTGAGATTACGCCACTGCACTCTGGCCTGGGCAACAGAGTGAGACTATGTCTCACACAAAAAAAAAAAAAAGAAAGAAAGAATTCTGCCTTCACCTAAAAAAGTTTGATTTTAGATAAGCTATACATAATGAAATATTAATTTCTTGGGTTTAAATCAAGTTGAAACTTATTTCCCAAGTTTAAGGCAAAACTACCTTTTAATATTAGGGCAACTTTGGAAGAATTTCACTTTTGTTCTCATATAAGATATTGTGCCCTAGGGAACCAAAAAAAGAAATGTAGGTGAGGTGATTCTTTCGAAAGGCTCAGCAGGCATTCCTGGCTTTTCTCTAAAATAGATGTAGAAGTGCTAGGTTACTGTAGAACACATGCCAGTATCACAAAAATTTTAGATAAATTAATAATAAGAAGAAAATCCTTTATTGCATTTTCCCCCCAAATATCTTCAGCTCTATGTTTATATTGTGATAATGACCATATAATAATAATAATAAAGTACTTAATAATGACAATTTAATGTGTGATGTAGCATGCTATTTTTGATTTGTGATTTCACTTACTCTCTATAACAACACTATCAGTTAGGTATTATATTTTTCCCATTTTAAAGTAAGAAAACTGAGATGTAGAGTAATTAAGCTACTTTTCAAGAAATGGTAATTGATAATGCTGGGACTAGAATTCCAGAATTTTTGCTTCTAATCATTAGATTATCTTGGCACCTGTCTTACAAGGAAAGCACAGCAATGGAGAAAAAGATTCTATTCTAATATCTACAGCTAATTTAGGGCAAGACTCTGTGCCTCACTTTACTAACTAAAATAATGAAGTTAGAACAGATGACCATGAAGATTCCTTTGTAGACAAATACTCTGTTTCAAATACACAATTTAGTTAAGTAAAATGTCTTGTAATACAACATCCTATCAAACTTATGCAATTGATCTTATTATTAAAATAAATTTCTTCATTAAAATGGTAATCTCTTATTTAGAAAGCCAGTTAAAGTCTATATTTGTCTGTCATTCATCCAGAAAATAAGTTATAGATCTTATCTTTAAAGAACTTAGTGTGTAGTGGAATTCAGAAGAGACACTCATAGATAAAATGTAGAGAGTGAAAGATATTATAGGATGGATAAATGTTTATTCATGCTATGGTCTCCTAAAGAGGAAGAGATTATTTGGGTGCCATCAATTTGGGGTGCAGACTGGAAGCAGAATTCAAAGAGTAATTGGATTGGGACCTCAAAGATTAATAGCATTTGAATATTATTTCTAATACATTAAATAGCATAATTATATATTGAATTACTTACAGTAAATATCAAATACTGCCTGTTCAGAATGAATTGTTTTCTGGCCAGATGGTCCATAATATGTCACCGAGCAGGTGAATGGCATTTGTATGTCAGCCTTGGTTGTCTTGTACTCCAGGGTGGAAGTCATGGTATAGAGCTGAGTCACTGGGTCCATTTCCTTTTTAAAAATTATGACCACCGCTGAAGAAAATAAAGAACACTGATGATAGGGTCTTTCATCTGACAATCACAATCCTTAACGAAACAGCACCACACCTTTGAGAAGTGTTTTTTTTCCTTCTAACTGTATTCAGCAGGAGAGAAAATTGACATGTAGTGAGGTTAGATGTCGTTTCAAAACCGTGAATCAGAGACACAGAAATAGAATCCTGGAATCCCTTTTCCCACTCACTTAATTAACTTCTAGATCATGCCATATACAGAAATTATTTCCTCTGCTCTTGATTCTTCTGTACAAGGGCTGAAAATGATGTTTAAAAAATCATGTATTAATTTAGTACATACTTAAAGTAACAGAGCATAAGAGTCATAGCTCAAAAGAGGGCAACATATTTAGATCCTGAATAGTTTAAAGCGGGGGTCTCCAACCTCCAGGACTGGTATGGGTGCAAACAGCAGGAGGTGAGCGGTGGGCAACCACAAGAAGCTTCTTTTGTATTTACAGCCACTCCCCATGGCTCACATTACTGACTGAGCTCCTTCTCCTGTCAGATCAGTTGTGGAATTACGTTCTTACAGGAATGCAAATCCTGCTGTGAACTGCACATATGAGGGATCTAGGTTGCATACTTGTTATGAGAATCTGATGCCTGATGATCTGTCACTGTGTCCCATCACCCCTAGATGGGACTGTCTAGTTCCAGAAAAACAAGCTCTGGGCTCTCACTGATTCTACATTATGGTGAGTTGCATAATTATTTTGTTATATATCACTATGTAATAATAATAGAAATAAAGTACACAATAAACCTAATGCCTGTGAATCACCCTGAAACCATCCCCCCACCCTGATCCAAAGAAAAATTGTCTTCCATGAAACCAGTTCCTGGTGCCAAAAAGGTTGGAGACCACTGGTTTAAAGAATACCTAGAACAAAGAAAGTCAGAACAGGTCCTCTGAATGTACTCCCTGTCCTCCTGCCCTCACACCCACCTCCTTCAAGGGGATGTAGCACTTTTCCATTCCTGTACCATGTGATATTGCCATCTGGATAACTGTCTTCTGAAATGCAGTCACCCAACTGCAAAATAAAAAGGCAATGTTATTACCTTGGTTCAATCAGGGGCTGTCAATTTGGAAACTCCAGAAACTCAGGCAATGCAGAGTTATTCCAAGGGTTTCTTGACCCGTTTATTTTCCAACACTGACCAAAGACTGAATACATGCTCTCTGGTATAAAAACAATGTCTTTTTAAGACCTTTTTAACAATTTATTTGAAAATATACTTTTGACGATTTTTAAATGTGCAATAGATGGTGTCACTATTATAAAATCACATTCATTTGAAAGCATTGCCAAATTCATTTTGACACTATTCATTTTTAACATTAACCAAATAACATTACTCTATTAACACTGACTATTACCATGAATCATAGATCTTCATACGGAAGAATAATTTGGTGTTAAAATGGGGCTGTGTCTCCAGTTTCATACTACATATATTTCAAGAGGATATACATTATCATGCTCTATAATTCCCCTCACTTTCTTTAAATGTATTTTAACTTTAATATTTGGTATTCATCAAATAATTTTATGCAGTAAAATTTAATATGACACAAAGAATGTAGGACTTGGGTTTCCATCTCCCAACAAAGGAAAACTTTGGTATTTTAGTTACATTATTATTCAATATGGAACTCCAACTTTGTCCCCCACTTTAATACAGCTTCCCTTCACATATCTGCTAATGTGTTGTTCGAATCTGATCTCACCTCTTTACTTCAATCTTTCAGTAGCATAATTTGCCAACAGAATAAAGTCCAAACTCCCTATTTAGTATGTAAGATTTGTCATGATCCAACTTTTCTTTGCCTCTCCAGATTCATCTCTTTCTATCCTTTCTTGTTTTCTGTCTTGGCACCCAGTTTCATCAATGCCAAAATTTGCTGTTTCCCAAACACACCGTTCTCTTTCACATCCTATTATTTCATATTGTTGGAAAGCCATTTCTACCTTTGGCTTGGTGAAAATCTATTCATCTTTCATCATTCTCTCTATATATTTTTTCTACACAGGGTCTGGCTCTGTCGTCCACAATGGAATGCAATGGTGCAAACATGGCTCACTGCAGCTTTGACCTCCTAGGCTCAAGCAGTCCTCCTTACCAAGCATCAGCCTACCAAGCAGCTGGGACCACAGGCATGTACCGCTATGCCCAGCTAACTTTTAAATATTTTTTATAAACAAGGTCTTGCCATGCTGTACATTCCTGGGCTCAAGTGATCCTCCCACCTTAACCTCCCAAACTGTTGGGCTTACAGGCATGAATCATGCTAACTGGCTTCATCCTTCTATTAAACAATCCATTAATTCAAATGAGAAAGACTCCTCTTTTCAGAAATGACCCCACCTTCCTTGATGTCCTCATGGTTACCTGAGACTGTGAGCATGTTGTACCCTCTGTGCCTTGTAGATAATTTCTGATTGGTAGCTGCAACACTGTCATCTCCACAAGAGCAAAGCCTTTCTTACTTGTCTTGGAATGTAAGGTCAGAAGAAGGCACTTACAACACTGGCTAAATAAAGGTATTAATCAAAAACAATTCTTACCTTTTTTAGCTGCTCTGTTTCGAGAAACAGTGCTTTGCTTACAATTTCAGGTTTAGATGGTTGCTCTAAAGTTAAGCAGAGAAAGATTTTAAGTACATATGTAAGAAAAACGGGACTTCTGTGATTTGATTCACAGCAAAAACAATTCATTTACTCAATACAGAAGAATAAGCAACAGAATAAAAATAGATTTCGTTATACAATCTGGATTTGGGGAATCTATAGGTCTACCCCTTCAAATATTTATTATCTTAAATATTATTTTCAGTGCTTGTAATTCCTTTGAATAAAATATAAATAATGCTTTCTGAATGCTTTATAAATAGTGAATATGGATTTGATAGTGAAACAGGGGCTAATGTCCTATATAGGATATATTGTCTCTAATTGATTACCATGAGCACTTCTTACTTATCAGTAACTTCCAGCTCATTAACTGAAGACATTAATTTACATGAACCAGAATCACAAAGATACTTGTTTAAAATTCAGATTTCTGAGCCCTATTTGGCCTACTGAATCAGAATTCCTGAAAAAAAAAAATCCCATAACTCTACATTTTAAACAAGTTTCTAGGGGATTCTCAGTCACCATAAAGTTTGAGAAACACTGTTCTAAAATCATGGGAAATAGAAAGCAAGTTAAGGAATTTATAAACCCAAATTTCTGAAATATCTCTAACTTTACCTCTTAAGCCAAGTCACAATATGAAAGTGTAAATGTGAGAAAATCTTTCAAATGTGGAACCTGAGATGATGGACAAAAACATTTTAAATATAGGTAGTTCTAAGAAACATAAATTTTAATAAAGACTTCAGGAGCAATTGATTAAAAGTTGCAGCAACAATTTATTATTTAAACTGATTTTAAGTTATTTTATTCTTAGCTGCTATTTTCTATCAATGATGGATTTTGCGCTTTTTAAATAGCTCCAACAATTAGTTTACACAAAAAGTATATTGCCTCATTGTCACTGATGTTTGTGAGTCTCATGGACCAAAATTATTCTATTTTCTTATAAGCAAATGTATTTAAACAATCAGCTACTTTTTCTTTTATAGTCTTATTGTTTACCACCTAATACTTTTAATTTTGATTACCAAACTAAACTAAATTGGCTTTTGTATAATTATTACTCAATTTGGAATTCAGTTATTAGACATGTTACCTCCCTAGATCATTATAGAAAACAGGGAAAATGACAAAATGTCTCTGCGGTAGCAAAATGGATATCTTTAGATTATATGAGAAACAAATGTAACCTTCTTTAGGTTAATATCTAGAGTTAATTTCCCCTCATAAATATGCTTTACATGAGATATTAGAATAATGAACAAAAACAATAAATCCTCCCATGTGTTGAACTCATGCTCTTTAATTATAAGAGGGCCTACTTAACTATTAATTCTAGAAATATAATTCCACAAATACAATTTTCACAATGATGATTTCTAGTTTCCAAAGACACTGATTGGGAACAAAACATAAGCAAGATAGAACAATAGAAAAAATAAATATAGAAAAATAGGAAGACACAACAGAGAAAATTAACATTAACACAAACTAGAAGTGACACTTGACTACCTGATTGGTAGGATAGTGACCATAAAATGATAAAAAGTTGACCAAGAAAAAAAAGCTTCTCAAAATAGACACCAGTTTCTGGGAAACATATTGTGTGGGGGTTAAAGCCTTTCACGTAAGAGTAAACCTTGACATTATCACTATTTTAATAGAATGTTATTAATGTTCATAATTGGAACTCTGATTTATTGATGAAACACTGAATCTTATTTGGAATCCACGTTTTAAAAAGGCAAATATCTAATACATTTGAGAGAAGAATGCATCTGAAATATTTAAACAAAAAGAAAATTCTTGGGGTGTAAGTAAGTCAAAGTTTTCTGGAAACTGAAATCAGTTATTTAGTGACACCCTCTCTGAGAGCTCAATAGATGTAATACATGCAGTTAATTTACGTGGCCAATGAAGAGTCAAAATGAACAGAAAAAAAAGGTCAAAACATTCTTAGTTTCTCCTTCAAGAGTACTATGCCTGGAATATGTGATGATATTTGACAATTCTCCCCATAAATTTAGGTTCTAAATAGACAGATTTGGTGGGTCGCTTTGCCAAGTTTCACTACTTTCCAGTTCACCAAAGTAAAATATCCAGACTGTTGTGCACATACTCTTTCTCTAATAGAAAATGTATAACTTTACTTTGCTTTGTAAACCCTGTAATGTTTTATCAATGCACCCATAATCATAAACACTTTGTATTTCAGTGTTTGGTCCTTTACTCATGGTCATGTGTGTTTTGTTGCCATAAATGCTTTATAAAATTCCTTATTTTTTCAATGAAATGAAACTGTAGCAAACCTAAGGAAACCTGATGAAAGGATGTTTAAAGCTTAATCCTGTTTACATTATGATTCGTCTTTCTATTTGGAAAAGAGGGTCACAGTGAGTATTGTGAATGTAATGGTAATACTTATTTCATTTTCCTGAGTTATTTTCTCCTTAAAGGTTTGTTTTGAGTCCTCTATATTAACTATGTATCTTGAATGTAATTTTCTTTTATATTAGGTTGTGACAATTGATGAGTATTAGTTGGAGGACCATAAAAGAGGACATGCACTATTTTAGCAAAATTGCATATTGATTCCAAAGTGTTAAAAAATAGTCTATGTGAATTATATCTTAACATGATTCAAAGATTCATAACCAAGTATAGAATTGAAGGGAAAAGCAATGCTACAAATTTACTTGCATCATTAAAGTAATTTAGTCAAGGGCAATGATTTAAGCCAAATTTTGCTTCTGAGTCTTCTTGGCTAAGTTTCTCTAAATCATTCAACTGAATATTTATCAAATGGAAAAATCATGCCTTTGTTTATTTTCTTTTTTTGCTGACCTGGCTATCTTAAGTAGTTAGAAGCTATATTATAATAGGGCCACACTATGGTAGCTTAAAATTATAGAATAGGGAGATTAAAAATATCTTACAGTGTTTATTCTAAATCTGATAGTATTTTACAAGGTGTGTGTGTGTGTGCGTGTGCACGCATGTGTGTGTTGGAGACAGGGGCAGCTGATATTCATGGCAACATGTAGTATGTGCCAGTATCTTGAACAATGATATATAATGCTAAGACTCAAATGGTTTCGGTTTGTAATACTTTTGTTTTAAGCTCAGGGGTACAAATGCAGGTTTGTTACATAGGTAAAGTTATGTCATGGGGGTTTTTGTACAGATTATTTCATCACCTAGGCATTAAGCCTAGTACCTATTAGTTATTTTTCCTGATTCTCTCCCTCTTCCTACCCTCCTCCCTCTGAAAGGCCCCAGTGTGTGTTGTTCTCCTCTATGTGCCCATGTGTTCTCATCATTTAGCTCCCACTTATAAGTGAGAACATGCAGTATTTGGTTTCTGTTCCTGTGTTAGCTTGCTATGGATAGTGGCTTTCAACCAAGTAAATTGTAGGGCTTTCACTAATACCCATTAAGGGCTGATCATATATAGTGAAAAGTTAAGCTACATGTAATATTTAGTGTCAATTAAAACATTTCATAAATAGTGCCCTTACTTTTCCCTCTACTTTTCTTTTTGTTTTATATCATCTGCAGTTATACAGGAGATTTTATAGCTGGAGAAGAAATTGTGGTAAGGGGCTGGGGAGTGGTCAGAAAGAAATATACTGAAATAGACAGCTCCTTTTGTTCTAATACCCAGACTATTGCTAGTAAGAGCTATGAACATTAGCCTTCAAAGAATCTAAAAATCAGCAACCTACTAAAATGTATATTTTTTGGCATGTAGCCAGCTCACAGCAAGGTGAGAATGTAGTGAAGACGGCACAACTGCTCTGTATGACTCACAGTGTTCTAGTATTACTATAAAAACCCACACATAGGATAGCTCAATTTAATAAGAGAGGAGAGCAAGTGAAGGCAGATGCAAATGGTCGTGTTGACTCAAAACGGCTCCTCCCAGTACTTTGTCAGCAATCACCCCTCATAAATCATGAAGTACTTTAAGCCAACTACTGTGAGCAAAAGGTATCTTTTATATTTAAATAATCAAAATGAAATATCTGGTGTAGATCTCATTGTTAAACAGAACATTTTCTGCTTCCTCCCCCCTCAATGCCCCCCAAAATTTTACTTTTAGGTTGAATGACTTTTAGGAGGAGGGTGAAAGCAAAGACACTTAATTTTGATAAAGCAGTCAGAACAGTATCCAAGTGGGAGGAATCCAAATAAAAGCTCTGAAGTACCTCTGTGTGAAGCCACTAAACATGGCCTATCATCATCATAAGACCTGGTCCATATGTACCACAGAGCAGACTCTATGTCTGCAATACCACAGAGCAGCACCAGAGTAGACTAGACTTGCAATTAGCACAGGGTGTGGTTTTCAAATTTTTTTTAGAGCTGGAGCAACTCCTCTGTTTTCTTTTTTTTTTCATGAACAAATTATCATGAAAAACTTTGAAATGTTGAAATAGACTGAAGCCTCACTAATCAAGTAGAAATAGCTCCTTACCTTCCTCAACTGTCTTCATTAACTCATGAACAAGATCCTAGCATCAGAATGGGAAAACCTCCCGTCTCATCCAAAGTATTCATTTTACTGATGAGGAGTGAATCTTAGCCCCAGACTGGTGAGGTGACTTGCCCAAAGTCAGAAATTAGCAGCAGATCTCATAAAGTAAGTTCTCCTGGTGACCCGCTCAGTGACTGCTCCATCTCACCAACAGCCTTCTGGCTCTCTGGGTACCCATTTGACTTCTAGACCTTTTTCACAATCACTAGAACGAATCTTTGGGCACCTTTAAAGGCTGACACTTGCTTCTGAATGGTTTTATTAACCTCAAATGTGCACTAAATAAAAACACAGTTTGATTTTGATGCCATTCAACTAAAAGAAAAAAGCTGATTAGTGGTGACTAAGAATGCCACTTATTTGGATTTGGGCTGATTCATAGGTATGATTTCTTGCATATGAGGAATAGCTTAAAATTAAACAAGCAAACCTGCATTAAAGATAGCAAGGTCATTTGCCAGGGGCTGTAGTTAGAATAAAAACAATTTGACTTAGCTCATGAGGATGGCAATCAGCAGCAGCCTGATCTGAGACTGGCTCCCATTAACCACACTTGATTCTATGGTACACGGTGCACGTTGCTAAGTGATTCAACAGAGGGAAACAGAGGACTGATTGATGGGCTTAGTAACTCTTAAGTGACTGCAATATACACATGCAGAGAATGAAAGTCTCCCTGTCACAGCTGCTTTTTGCTTCACAGAAAGTGACCCAAAGTAAATTCATTGAAAACAAAACAAAACAAAAAAACAAACCAAAGCCCCTATATGTTTTTTGTAAACATTGTCTTTATCATAAGCTTTGCTGTTCATTTTACTGGATTTGGAGGGTCTCACGATTTCTAGCATAAAACACCATTTTCAAGAGTGTGTAACTTGTCTATGTAAATTCTCCCTGGCCCACAGCCTGGAATGCAAATTCTGTTTCTGAGAATCACTTTGTTTTCAACAACATCAAAAAGAGAAGGGAGTAGGGGGGTGTTGGCGGTAGGTGGGGTGTGAGTTTGTTTTCACAATAATAGAAATTCCCTGTATTCCAAATCAGCTGATAAATTTTATTGAATTAGGCCAGCTGAATTTTTTTCAGATTTCTGAAAAAATCAGATTTGGCCTGATTTACAGGTATGATTTCTTGCATATGAGGAATAGCTTAATGTTTTTTTTTTTTTTTTACAAAATGTTTTGAAAACTGTCACAAATAATTCTTCCAAATGAAACAAACTGAATTTTCTCAACTCCCTTGTATATTACCATCTCAGTGTAGGAAAATTTTAACACCTTAAAAATGAAACCTGACAATGACAAATTAATACATATAACCATTAGAGTGCTGTGACTTAACCTCTGTAGCTACTGTGGTCCATTTTTGATGTCTGGTTATATTATGACATTATAACTATCACCAAAAAACTTTTTGATTACTCGCTTTAGAAAAGTGTCCTGAGCAGTGCACTATTCATCTTTCTAATAACATGAAAGTGAAATAGAAGAAAAGAAAAAAATACATGGGCCACTGGCAAATGCAGGATGCAGACTATTTGGGATGTTTTATGGAAACAGGCATGACTGCAAACACTTGGTTTGCACTTGGTTTGATTCATACAACGATCGAGAAGTGTGGATGGTTTCTGGAAAGTGCCTTCTAAGCTGAAAGGTAATCAACTGAAACATGTAATATGCTCTTACAAGGTTCTTCTAGGGAACAAAGGTTTCCTTTGATAGTATAAGCATGCTTTGAATCTGCATCATGAGCCCATAGGAGCTTTGAAGTCCGTATAAATACTTGAGGGACAGACCTACTTAGTTGCATAGGCTATTACAAGAGAAACAGGAAAAATCCATAGTTACTTGCTGTAGTTGGAAGGCCCTCTGGGTTTCCTTCTTCCCTATTTATTTTAATAATTTCTAAGCGCTGTCAAGTTATCAGAAAGCAGAGGGGAAAAAGTTGTAAAGTGAAACCTTCTTCCCTAATTAAAAAAGACTGAAAGACTGGCATTCTGAAACTTTTGAGACCTGTTTCGTTCCCTGTAGTGTCTAAAATATTGTGAAGTAATAGAGGCGGGACTTTTTATTTGAGTTTTAAAAGATGAAATACTTTAATTATAACTTCTCAAGTCATTCATTTGCACAGTTATTTGCACAGTAACATTAACTATATGCTATCATTAGGCAAAGTAATTTTGTCATAGTGACTATAATTATTCCAAGTTTCTTCTACAATTTTCTCTTCTTCCATCACTACTCTACTTTCTCCCCTTGGTGTATCCCACATAAGCATTCAGGGTATAGTGAGTTTTTTTAATTTTAGGACAATTTTCTAAAGCAAGTGAATACTTTTTGAAATCTAAATCAATAACCAGTCAATAAAGGTCAGGATGGAAATGTATCTATATCTCTAATATATATAATATATAAAATATTTGTATGTGGATATATATGGGATATTTATATATGTGGATATATATAAATGGAAAATTTATACCTCTGTTAAAATATAGTTTGAATTTGCTTATATTTTTTTATTATGCAGCAAAATGGCAATTTCATTTGGTTCAGCCAAATACATGTATATGTATGCGTGATATACATGATTACATATATATCATATATCTATGTATGTATCACACAACACTTATTTGTACATGTCAGTAAAAATTAAGATCACCTGCTAGTTATCAGTAGTAGTACTTCATAGCTCACGACATTTTTACATGACAAAGTAACAGAGAATATTATTTTAGTTCCTCACTGCAAATCTCCTATTTGAATTTCATACTCTTTGTTTTCTTTGCTGATAGTATATATGAGCAGAATGAAGATCTCTTTAAGTCCCCTTATATAGATACCTGCTATAGAGACACTACAGAGAGTTCAGTCTTCTTTCTAAAGAACATGGTCTGGTACTGGCCATCAATCCCACTTAGCAGTGACACTGCTGCAGACTACTTACTGAACACCTTGACTATTGTAGGTGCCTCAAACACGTTGTCCTCAGTTACTAGCATGCACACAAATCTCTTTTCATCACTGATCCTTGCATTACTGATAGACAAAGTGTAGTTTTCTGAGAGGTTCAATCTGTCTTTGTATTCTGGTACATCGTCGTACTGCACACTTTTCTTTGTAGAGGATCTGAAGGCAATAAATACTGGGGAGCCATCGGGCTTTTCCTAAAAATTAAAATAATAATACATTTAAACACAAGCATATTCAGATGTTTCAGGATTACATTCAAAATAACATTTCCTTGGCCATATTCTACCAATATCTATATTTTTTGTCTACGAAGAATAATTTTTATACAAGTCTCACGTAAATATTTGATTACAGAAAATCCTTCATAAGAGAGAAGCCATAATGAGTAAAAATGAAAGGGTAGAGCTCTAGGAATCAGATTTTTTTTTCATTGAGAAGATAGAATTATTAACTGTTTTGAAACTTACATGGGCTGCATATGTTTAATATAAAATAAAACATAAATAAATGCAAACAAAGGTACAAAATGATGTTCAGATAACCATCACGGCAGGTATACACTTGAGCTGCAAATACTGGTTTGGATATTTTGGGCAATTATCTTTGGAATATTCTTTATTTTAATCCACCTATTTTAAATGTCCACACCTCTAACCAAAACTGATGTAGCTGACCTTTATACATGGAATAGTTTAACCAGTCTTGATGGAGAAACAGTATTTACCCT